>NC_000017.11:2309292-2460807 GCF_000001405.40 Homo sapiens
ATTCAATCCACTATCAGGATATGTCTCTTCTGTTCCTATAATGAACATGTATGGAATCATCTCCCCAGCATTCTCCCCTTTATTTTCACTTGGAAAATGCCCCTTACTCCCACTCAAAAGTACTTTTTTCTTTTCTTTGTTTTCTTTCCTGTGTCACTCCTTTATTTTGCTATTTTCCCCTCAGGTGCAGAGAATTGAGCCAGTCATACTCGTTTATTCACACTGTCATTAACAAGCCCTTTCTCATTTTATCTTTTCTCTTCATTCCAGTTCCCACTAATGTTCCTTTCCTCCCTCCTTAGGTATTCACTCTAATGTGTTTGATATATGTCTTTGAATATACATGTATCTTTGAATAATATGTAATGTTTTATGTATGTATGTGTTTTAAATGTACCTAATTGATACTGTGTTACAGATCTCATTCTGTTTCTTTTTCATGTTTATGTAAATACTTCTGACTATTGCACACTGTTATCTTCAGTGACCTCATACCCTGGCCACTGGTCCTGGGCCAAGATGGGCCAGAGTCCTTACCCAGAATTTTTTTAACTGAAACTGAGAAAGAAAATTCCCCTTCAGTGTGGAAGCCATAAAATGTAAAACATACGAGCTGTCAGCAGCCACGTGTCAGTTGGTTCCATATGGAACCAACTCGCCTGTGTGAAAAAGAAGCCGACGTGCAGAAAGCAGCAGAGGTGAGAGACTAAGAGTCTGGGAAGCTGTCAAATCTCTGGTTCCAGTAGTTCCTGAAGCTCCATATTCCTCCCCTTACCATGGTTTGTTCATTTCTTCATGGATTCCATGAGCTAGTAAATCTCAACACCTCCACCTTGTGCCTACTAAGGTAGTACAAATTGAGGTTCTATCACTTGCAACTAAGAGGACTAACTGTTTACAACCTCCAAAATATATCTTATTTTTGATAGTGGGTTTTTTGTATTCTGGGTTTTGTTGTTGAGAGACAGGGTCTACATGTAGGAATGGAATCGGTAGATCATAGGATGATTCTATGTTCAATTTTTTGAGGAAGCACCATACTGTTTACTGTAGAATTACCACTACAGGCGCCTGCCACCTGCACGGCTAATTTTTGTATTTTTGGTAGAGATAGGGTTTCAACGTGTTGCCCAGGCTGGTCTTAAATTCCTGAGCTCAAGCAGTCCGCCCACCTAAAGTGCTGGGATTACAGGTATGAGCCACTGCATCCTGCCAAGGGGGCATAATTGACATTTATTCATAAAAATATTGAGACTTCAGGCCTGGCATGGTTTTTTGGGATTTTTGGTTGTTGTTTTTTTTTTGAGACAGAGTCTCACTCTGTCGCCCAGGCTGGAGTGCAGTGGAACATTCTCGGCTTACTGCAACCTTTGCCTTCCAGGTTCAAGCGATTTTTCTGCCTCAGCCTCCCTAGTAGCTGGGACTACAGGCAAATGCCACTACTCCTGGCTAATTTTTTTGTTTGTTTGTTTGAGACAGAGTCTTGCTCTGTCACCCAGGCTGGAGTGCAGTGGCATGATCTTGGCTCACTGCAAACTCCGCCTCCCGGGTTCATGCCATTCTCCTGCCTCAGCCTCCCGAGTAGCTGGGACTACAGGTGCCCGCCACCATGCCCGGCTAATTTTTTGTATTTTTAGTAGAGACAGGGTTTCACCATGTTAGCCAGGATGGTCTCGATCTCCTGACCTTGTGATCTTCCCACCTCAGCCTCCCAAAGTGCTGGGATTACAGGCGTGACCCACCACGCCCGGCCAATTTTTGTTTTTTTAATGGAGACGGGATTTTACTATGTTAGTCAGTCTGGTCTCAAACTCCTGAACTCCTGATCTCAAGTGATCCACTTGCTTTGGCCTCCAAAAGTGCTGGGATTACAGGCAAGAGCCACCACGCCCAGCCAACTATTTTTTGTTCTCTTGTTTTTTTGTTTTTAAGAGACAGGGTCTTGCTCTTGCAGTGGTACAATAACTCACTGCAGCCTTGAACTCCTGGGTTTAAGCAATCCTCCTGCCACTGTGCCCAGCCGAGGGGGCATAATTGACATTAAAAAATATTGAGTTTTCGGGCCCGTCATGGTGGCTCACGCCTGTAATCCCAGCACTTTGGGAGGCCAAGGTGGGTGGATCACTTGAGCTCAGAAGGTCAAGACCAGCCTGGGCAACATGGCAAAACCTTGTCTCTACAAAAAATACAGACGTTTTTTGTATTTGTGGTGGCACAGTGCACCTGTGGTCCCAGCTACTCAGGAGGCTGAGGTGAGAGGATTGCCTGAGCCTGGGAGGCAGAGGTTGCAGTGAGCTGAGATCATGCCAATGCACTCCAGCCTGGACGACAAGAGACCCCGTCTCAGTAAATAAATAATGCCTCCAATTCATTTATACATCTTTACAATGGAATTTCTGGCAACTTTGATAAAGTAATTCTAGTTCACCTGAAAGAATTGATATGTGAGAAAAGCCAATGAATTTTAGAGCAATCAAGGGAGAATTTATTAATACAGTATATAATAGGAAAAGACATTGGCAGTCTGGCCAATGGAACAAAATACAATAGCCCCAACCATTCATAGAAATTTAATTTTTGATAAATAGAGCATTTCAGAGGAAAAGGATTCTGTCAGTAAATGGTGTGTTAAGAAGGCTGGGTGTGGTGCCTCATGCCTGTAATCCCAGCACTTTGGAAGGCCAAGGCGGAAGGATCACTTGAGCTCAGGGGTTTGAGACCAGCCTGGGCAACACAGCAAGACTTCCTCTCTACTAAAATAAAAATTTAAAAAATTAGCTGGGTATGGTGGTGCACAGTCATAGTCCCAGGTACTTGGGAGGCTGAGGCGGGAAGATCACTTGAGCTCAAGAGTTTGAAGCTGCAGGGAGCCATAATTGAGCCACTGTACACCAGCCTGGACAACAGAGTGAGACCTTATCTAAAAAAAAAAAAAAAAGACTGAGAAAAGAACAAGTGGCCAAGATACACAAAAAAATGTTCAATCACTAGTAATTAATGTAAATTAAAACTACTAGACATTGCCAGGCACAGTGGCTCACACCTGTAATCTCAGCACTTTGGGAGTCTGAGGCAGGTGGATCACGAAGTCAGGAGATCGAGACCATCCTGGCTAACACAGTGAAACCCTGTCTCTACTAAAAATACAAAAAATTAGCCTGGCGTGGTGGCACACACCGGTAGTCCCAGCTACTCGGGAGGCTGAGGCAGGAGAATCACTTGAACCTGGGAGGTGGAGGTTGCAGTGAGCCAAGATCCCACCACTGCACTCCAGCCTGGGCAACAGAGCAAGACTCCGTCTCAAAGAAACAACAACTACTAGACATAACTAAATTGACATAAAAATGATATAGGACGGATGAAGGAAAAGAGGCATCATTCCATCAAAACTGTTGTTGGGAGTACAAATTGATGTAATATAGGACCCTTCTGGAGATCAGTTTGGCAGTGGGTATCAGATTTCTTAGAAATATGTATGCCTTTTGATACAAAATACCATTTGGTGAAATCTACCCTAAGGACTGACGGAGGTACACAAAAATCTTGCAACAAGGCTATTCATTACATCATTCTTACAGCCAACAACAACAAAAGGAAATCCAAATGTTCATTTGAGCTATGTAAACTTAAAATTATTATTTTTTCTTTTTCAAGAGATAGGGTCCTGCTTATGTTGCCCAGGCCACAGTACAGTGGCTATTCATAGACGTGATAATAACACACTCCCGGGCTCAAGCAAGCCTCCCGCCTTAGCCTCCCAAGTAGCCGGGACTACCAGTGTGTGTCACTGCCCCCAGCTAAATTATTGTATTTTTGTAAAAGAAGTACTATTAAGTCATTTTAAAAGTTGGATAAAGCCGGGCGCAGTGGCTCACGCCTGTAATCCCAGCACTTTGGGAGGCTGAGCCAGGTGGATTGCCTGAAGTCAGGAGTTCGAGACTAGCCTGGCCAACATGGTGAAACCCTGTCTCCACTAAAAATAAAAAAATTAGCTGGGTGTGGTGGCAGGCGCCTGTAATCCCAGCTACTAGGGAGGCTAGGGCAGGAGAATCGCTTGAACCTGGGAGGCAGAGGTTGCAGTGAGCTGAGATGGCGCCACCGCACTCCAGCCTGGCGGCAGAGCAAGACTCTCTCAAAAAAAAAAAAAAAGTTGGATAAATGGGCCGGGCGTGGTGGCTCACGCCTGTAATACCAGCACTTTGGGAGGCCGAGGCGGGCGGATCACCTAAGATCAGGAGTTCAAGACCAGCCTGGCCAACATGGTGAAACCCCGCCTCTACGAAAAATATAAAAATTAGCTGGGTGTGGTGGTGGGCGCCTGTAATGCCAGCAACTCAGGAGGTTGAGGCAGGAGAATTGCTTGAACCCAGGAGGCAGAGGTTGCAGTGAGCCACAGTCATGCCACTGCACTTCAGTCTGGGTGACAGTGAAACTCCATCTCAAAAAAACAACAAAAAAAAAATGTTGATAAATGTACTCACCTATGAGATTCATTGATATTCATAATACTGTCTGACAAAAAAAGAAGTTACCAAACCTACCAAAGAGTTTTGTCTGCATATGTAGTTGGGCCTGGAAAGGTAAACCACTGGATAGCAACTGTCTTTAGGTAGGAAGGTTTCGTGGCTATTTTCATGTTCTTTTTGTATCTCTGTATTTTCAGATTAACTCAGTTTTCTAATGAATATAGATTCTTTTGTAATAAGGAAAAATAGAGAAACTTCATATTTAACTGCTACAATAGACACAGTGGAAAGTGGAAGCTTAATGTAGTTATTGAAAATTATGAAAATTGTAAAGAAACTGAGTCAAATGTAGGAGCAAATAAAATGTTTGCTTTAACTGTTACATAATGTATATTGAGAATGCAGAAGGAGCCGGGCGCAGTGACTCACGCCTATAATCCCAGCACTTTGGGAGTCTGAGGCAGGCGGATCACCTGAGGTCGGGAGTTCGAGACCAGCCTGCACAACATGGAGAAACCCCGTCTCTATTAAAAATACAAAATTGGCCGGGTTTGGTGGCTCACGCCTGTAATCCCAGCACTTTGGGAGGCCGAGGCAGGCGGATCACGAGGTCAGGAGATTGAGACTATCCTGGCTAACACGGTGAAACCCCGTCTTTACTAAAAATACAAAAAATTAGCCAGGCATGGTGGCAGGTGCCTGTAGTCCCAGCTACCAGGGAGGCTGAGGCAGGAGAATGGCGTGAACCCGGGAGGCGGAGCTTGCAGTGAGCCGAGATCGCGCCACTGCACTCCAGCCTGGGTGACAGAGCGAGACTCTGTCTCAAAAAAAAAAAAAAAAAAAAATTAGCTGGGCATGGTGGTGCATGCCTGTAATCTCAGCTACTCGGGAGGCTGAAGCAGGAGAATCGCTTGAACCTGGGATGTGGAGGTTGTGGTGAGCCAGGACTGCACCAGTGCACTCCAGCCGGGACAACAGGAGTGAAACACCATCTCAAAAAACAAAAAAAAAGAAAATGCAGAGGGAAATAAAGAAAATGAACATAGTTATTTAAATGGAATAGTCTAGCTATTTTTTCTTTATCAAATAATTTGTTAAATTTTTATTAAAAATTAAAAATTTAAATTTATAAATTAAAAATAATATAAAAATTGAATCCAATTCATTCAAGTAGCTTCACAACGATGATTAAAAGAAAGGTGGAGCTGGGCACGGTGGCTTACACCTGTAATCCCAGCACTTTGGGAGGCCGAGGCAGGCGGATCACGAGGTCAGAAGTTCAAGACCAGCCTGGACAACATGGTGAAACCCCGTGTCTACTAAAAATATAAAAATTAGCTGGGCACGATGGCACATTCCTGTAATCCCAGCTACTCGGGAGGCTGAGGCAGGAGAATTGCTTGACCCGGGAGGCGGAGGTTGCAGTGAGCCGAGATTGTGCCACTGCACTCCAGCCTGGGCTACAGAGCGAGACTCCGTCTCAAAAAAAAAAAAAAAAAAAGGAAGATGGAGACCAGTGGCAGTGCCAACAGTGCCAAGAGATGGGTGGTGTGGGTGGGGAGTGGGCTTTAGCCTTCTGTAATCACCATCAGTTACTTCCCTCAAAGCTTCACCAGAAAAACTTCGTTCAGCTTTTAAGTCAACTCTCTTTTAGGGAAATTCTGACACTCCAATAATGGAGAATTTCCACATGACACCACAGGCCCCAGGTCTATTCTGTTACGTATTTTCAAAATCTCTTCAATAAACATACTGTCTCAGACTTTGCTTTGACCCCTTTCTTATTCCTGGGTTTCAGAACCATGTGTGCTCAGTATTGCATCTCCTTTGCTGATGTTGAAAAAGCTCATATCAACATTCGAGATTCTATCCACCTCACACCAGTGCTAACAAGCTCCATTTTGAATCAACTAACAGGGCGCAATCTTTTCTTCAAATGTGAACTCTTCCAGAAAACAGGATCTTTTAAGGTAACAATCCTTTTTCTCAGTGTATCATGTATGTTTTCACACCCTTTCACATATCAGTTTGATTCTCCTGACCACCCAATGAGATAGGCAGAAGTAAATTAATGCCTTTATACAGCTGGAAAAAAGGTTACAGAAATTTTCCTTTCAAGTCCTTGTTTTACCTAGCATCATAGTGTTGATAAGCAACTTTTACACAGTCATAAATCCTTATAATTAGGATAATATATATAACTTATCCGAGTAATTTTTATATATATGTATGTGCATATATATAATATATACATAAAATACAGTCATATGCCACATAACGTTTCAGTCAATGACAGACCACCTATATGATGGTGGTCCTTGGTCCCATAAGGTTATACCACACATTTACTGTACGATTTCTGTGTTTAGATACAGAAATACTTCTCATTGTGTTATAGCTGCCTACAGTATTCAGTACAGTAACATGCTATACAGGGTTTGCAGCCTAGGAGTAATAGGCTGTAACAGCTGGATTTGTATAAGTACACTCTATGGTGCATGCAAGATGATGAAATTGCCAAATCATGCATTTCTCGAAACATATCCCCATCCTTAAGCAAAGCATGACTTTATTATATATACCATCACTTACTGTCCAAACTAAGACATAATTTATTATCCAAACTAGGACATGTTTGGGACTGAAAGAAGCAACCTGAAATATCTAAACAGACACCTGAACTGTTGCAGGCAAATTGGAAAGTGTTATCACTCTGTATATGACCCAAGTTTAAGCATTCACTGTATCAACTTGCTACACATGGATACATTATCAATATAAAAGATCTAAGCCTGGGCCACACGGCAAAACTCTGTCTACAAAAAATACAAATATATGACAGGCGCAGTGGTTCACACTTGTAATCCCAGCACTTTGGGAGGCTGAGGCAGGTGGATCACCTGAGGTCAGGAGTTCGACACCAGCCTGACCAACATGATGAAACGCTTTTTTGTTTTGTTTTGTTTTGTTTTGAGACGGAGTCTCACTCTGTCCCCCAGGCTGGAGTGCAGTGGCACGATCTCGGCTCACTGTAAGCTCCACCTCCCAGGTTCACGCCATTCTCCTGCCTCAGCCACCCGATTACCTGGGACTACAGGCGCCTGCCACCACGCCCAGCTAATTTTTTTTTTTTTTTTTTTGAATTTTTAGTAGAGACAGGGTTTCACCGTGTTAGCCAGGATGTTCTTGATCTGACCTTGTGATCCGCCCGCCTCTGCCTCCCAAAGTGCTGGGATTACTGGCATGAGTCACCGCACCCAGCCTTGGTGAAACACTTTCTACTAAAAATACAAAATGAGCGGGACTTGGTGCCAGGCACCTGTAATCCCAGCTGCTTGGGAGGCTGAGGCAGGAGAATTGCTTGAACCCAGAAGGCAGAGGTTGCAGTGAGTTGAGATCACGCCATTGCACTCCACCATGGGTGATAGAGGAAGACTCCATCTCGGGGGAAAAAAAAAAAAAAAAAAAAAAGGCCGGGTGCGGTGGCTCACGCCTGTAATCCCAGCACTTTGGGAGGCTGAGGCAGGCGGATAACGAGGTCAAAAGATCGAGACCATCCTGGCTAACACGGGGAAACCCCGTCGCTACTAAAAATACAAAAAAATTAGCCGGGCGTGGTGGCGGGCGCCTGCAGACCCGGCTACTCGAGAAGCTGAGGCAGGAGAATGGCGTGAACCCGGGAGGCGGAGCTTGCAGTGAGCCGAGATCGCGCCACTGCACTGCAGCCCGGGCTACAACAGAGCGAGACTAGGTCTAAAAAAATAAAAAAAAAAAATTTAGCCGGGCATGGTGGCAGGTGCCTATAATCCCAGCTACTTGGGAGGCTGAGGCAGGAAAATCACTTGAACCCGGCCCTGGGGGTAGACGCAGTGTGGGGAGGCGGACGTTGCAGTAAGCCGAGATCGTGGCACTGCACTCCAGCCGGGATAACGGAGACTCCATCTCAAAAAAATAAAAAATAAAGATGCACATGAGATATTTAAGAGGTAAATCGATAAGATTTGGTGACAGATTGGATGTGCATGTTAAGGATAGAAAATCTAGAAAAGCTCCTTGCTTTCCAAAACAATGTTTTAATCAAATATGTGAATTCACCATCCCTCTTTTTCAGATTCGTGGTGCTCTCAATGCCGTCAGAAGCTTGGTTCCTGATGCTTTAGAAAGGAAGCCGAAAGCTGTTGTTACTCACAGCAGTGGAAACCATGGCCAGGCTCTCACCTATGCTGCCAAATTGGAAGGTACTTGATTTCTCAAGGTACTGGGTAGATCTTCAGAAAGGAGTGGAAAAGTGCCCTTAATTTCAGTGAGAGTGATGATAGCTGTGGGAAGTAACTTTCCAAAGAAATCTCTATCTGATTGCAAGCAATATGAACATAAGTTTTTTTTTTGTTTGTTTTGTTTTTTTGAAGACAGAATCTTGCTGTCACCCAGGCTGGAGAGCGGTGACGCGATCTCGGCTCACTGTAACCTCCACCTGCCGGGTTCAAGCGATTCTCCTGCCTCAGCCTCCTGAGTAGCTGGGACTACAGGTGCGCACCACCACGCCTGGCTAATTTTTTCTATTTTACAAATACAAAATACTAATTTCACCATGTTGCCCAGGCTGGTCTCGAACTCCTGGGCTCAAGCAATCCACCCGCCTTGGCCTCCCAAAGTCCTAGGATTACAGGCGTGAGCCACCACACCTGGCTGAACATGTTTCTTTCTTTTTTTTTTTTTTTTTTGAGACGGAGTCTTGCACTGTCGCCCAGGCTGGAATGCAGTGGCAGGATCTCGGCTCACTGCAAGCTCCACCTCCCGGGTTCACACCATTGTCCTGCCTCAGCCTGGGACTACAGGAGCCTGCCACCATGCCTGGCTATTTTTTTTTTTTTTTTTTTTTTTTGTATTTTTAGTAAAGACAGGGTTTCACCGTGTTAGCCAGGATGGTCTCAATTTCCTGACCTTGTGATCCGCCTGCCTCAGCCTCCCAAAGTGCTGGGATTACAGGTGTGACCCACCGTGCCTGGCCACATAAGTTTCTATTCTAAATTCTCCTGACTTTTTCCTCTCGTTTTCCTCTCCCAGGAATTCCTGCTTATATTGTGGTGCCCCAGACAGCTCCAGACTGTAAAAAACTTGCAATACAAGCCTACGGAGCGTCAATTGTATACTGTGAACCTAGTGATGAGGTAAGGAGAGCAGTGCTTGGTACCACCTTAACAGCTTTCATTTGACCAATGGCTCTTTCTACCTTACTGGCTGCTCCTTCTCAGCCTCCTTTGTGGTTTCCCCTTTATTTCTGTTAGCATGCTCAACCTTTTCTCTATCTACACTCACAAGATCTCATTAGTCTCATTTCTTAAATTATTACCTATGGTCTAACAACACCAACTCCAACTTCTCTCCCTTTAACAGCCAACTTTTATATAACAGCTACCTAACTTTCCCACTTGATGTCTTAAAAGGCATCTCAAACTACAGCTAAAACCAAACTCCTGATCTTACTTCCCTATATTGCTTCCCTTCCAGTCTTCCTCATCTTAGTAAATGGCAATTTTTATTCTTCTAGTTACTCAAAAAAAAGTTGGAGTCATCTTTTTTTGAAAATTTTTTGTTGTTGTTGTTAAAGATGGACTCTTTCTATGTTGTGGGATCCTTCTGCCTCAGCCTGTTGAGTAGCTAGGACTACAGGTGCATGCCACCACACCTAATTCCTTTATTTTTTGTAGACAGGGTCTCACTGTTGCCCAGGCTGGTCTCAAACTCCTGGATTCAAGCAGTCCTCCCACCTTGGCCTCCCAAAATGCTGGGATCACAGGCATGACCCACTGCACACAGCCAGGAATCCTCTCTGATAACCCTCTCATACCCCACATCCAAATCTCAGTCTGCTTTCAACATATTTCCATAACCCAACTGCTTCTGTGTCTACCGTTAGCACTCTGATTCAAACCAACATCAATTCTCACCTATATTCAATTCAGTAGCCAAACTGGTCTCTCTGCATCCACCCTTGCCACACTACAGGCTTTTTTGAGCAACCAGAGGTCTCCATTTAATAAAGTCAGAACTTGTCTCTTCTTTTTTTTTTTTTTTGAGGCGGAGTCTTGCTCTGTCGCCCAAGCTGGAGTGCAGTGGTGCCATCTTGGCTCACTGCAAGCCCCGCCTCCTGGGTTCCAGCGATTCTCTTGCCTCAGCCTCCCGAGTAGCTGGGACTACAGGCGCCTGCCACCATGCCCAGCTAATTTTTTCTATTTTTAGTAGAGACGGGGTTTCACTGTGTTAGCCAGGATGGTCTCGATCTCCTGACCTCGTGATCCACCCACCTCGGCCTCCCAAAGTGCTGGGATTACAGGCGTGAGCCACCACGCCTGGCCAGAACTTGTCTCTTTTCAAGTCTAAATCCTCTGTTGGTTTCCCATCTCATACACGGTGGAAACGAGAGTTCTTGCAATCATCTAATCCCTGGATAAACTCAAACATTCCTATCTTTCTGACCTCATCTCTCATCTTTTTTTTTTTTTTTTTTTTTTTTTAGACAGAATCTCCCCGTCTCCCAGGCTGGAGTGCAGCGGCACAATCTCGGCTCACTGCAACCTCCGCCTCCTGGGTTCAAGCGATTCTTCTGCCTCAGCCTCCCGAGTAGCTGGGACTACAGGCGCGTGCCACCATGCCCAGCTAATTTTTGATTCTTTAGTACAGACAGGGTTTCACCATATTGGCCAGGCTGGTCTCGAACTCCTGACCTCGTGATCTGCCCGCCTTGGCCTCCCAAAGTGCTGGGATTACAAGTGTGAGCCACCGTGCCTGGTCCCTCATCTTCTTTTTATTTATTTTGAGACAGGGTCTCACTCTGTCCAACCCAGGCTGGAGTGCGGTAGTTTCTTCTCAGCTCCCTGCAGCCTCCGCTTCCTGGGTTCAAGAGATTCTCATGCCTCAGCCACCAGAGTAGCTGGGATTACAGGCGCGTGCCACCACATCTGGCTAATTTTTGTATTTTTAGTAGAGACGGGGTTTTGCCGTGTTGGCAAGGCTGGTCTTGAACTCCTGACCTGAAGTGATCTGCCCACCTTGGCCTCCCAGAGTGCTGGGATTATAGGTGTCAGCCACTGCACCCAGCCTTGACCTCATCTTCTATTATTTCTCTTGCCCACTCTGTGCCAGCCATACTAACCTTTTTAGCTGTTCCTCAGAAAGGCCAAGCACTCCTACTTTGTAGTCTTTGCACTGTTACCCCCTCTCTGGAATATTCTAGACATCCACAGCACTTGTTCAGATCTTTTAAAATGTCACTTTACTAGAGGCTCTTCTTGGCTACCCTATATGAAATAAATTCCTTCATTTTACTCCATTGCACTTAGACATACCATATATTTACTTCATCCATCTCTACCATACAATATAACGTGCTTGAGGGCAGGGATATTTTATTAACATATATATCTCTAGTACCTGAACAAAGTGTGAAAAAAGTAGATGGTCAATAAAATGCTGAATGACCAAATGGAACTTGTTGGGGACTCTATTAAATACAAATCAATTAAGCTAAATTAATGTACTTTCAGTCCAGAGAAAATGTTGCAAAAAGAGTTACAGAAGAAACAGAAGGCATCATGGTACATCCCAACCAGGAGCCTGCAGTGATAGCTGGACAAGGGACAATTGCCCTGGAAGTGCTGAACCAGGTAAAATAGCTGAGTTCTTCCTGTTTAGCTACTGGTAAAGCTGTTGGGCTATATTCAATTATTTTATATGTATACATTAAATATAAAACTGCTTACAGTTTATATTTTCACTAAAGGTTCCTTTGGTGGATGCACTGGTGGTACCTGTAGGTGGAGGAGGAATGCTTGCTGGAATAGCAATTACAGTTAAGGTGAGCAGCTTCTGGAGGATTCCCTGCTTCAAGCAGAGGATTTACTTTACATCCTAAATGTTCTGTATACACGTGCTCAACATTCTGCACACATTACCATTCCTTCCCCTTATTCCTTTGGGACTTGAGATGAAGGCCCATCTCTGCCTCACTACTCTATTTACTATTATTATTATTTTTTGAGACAGATTCTCGCTGTTGCCCAGGCTGGAGTGCAGTGGCACGATCCTGGCCCACTGCAGCCTCCACCTCCCGGGTTCAAGCGATTCTCCTGTCTCAGCCTCCTGAGTAGCTGGGATTACAGGCATGAGCCACCACACCCCGCTAATTTTTTTGTATTTTTTTTAGTAGAGACAGGGTTTCACCATGTTGGTCAGGCTGGTCTTGAACTCCTGACCTTGCGATCCACCCGCCTTGGCCTCCCAAAGTGTTGGGATTACAGGCGTGAGCCACTGCGCCCGGCCTATTTATTATTTCTAATATTTTTATTTTTTTTAAGAGATGGGGTCTTGCTGTGTTGGCCAGGTTGGTCTGGAACTCCTGGGCTCAAGCAGTCCTTACTTTGGCCTCCCAAAGTGCTAGGATTACAGGTGTGAGCCACCGCACCCAGCCAACTCTCTTCTTAATCCATGACAATTTTACAGCACAAAAGCAGTTACAAGTGACACCATCATAGTCTTTTCCCTGAATTCCATGTCATCAAGCTACTATCCATACCAAGGGGCTACCCTTTTCTCAAATTACCAGGACAATCAGATGTGATCCAGGCAATGGAAGGCTAGTATCAGACATATAATTTATTTATAAAGTGCTTGAAGATATTTTCATTACATCCACAAAAGGGAAGGCTCTTACTTGGGCAGAAATGTATTACTTATTGTGCCTATTTTCTTTTTTTTTTTGAGACGGAGTCTCACTCTGTCACCCAGGCTGGAGTGCAGTGGCACGATCTTGGCTCACTGCAAGCTCCACCTCCCAGGTTCACGCCATTCTCCTGCCTCTGCCTCCCGAGTAGCTGGGACTACAGGTGCCTGCCACCATGCCTGGCTAGTTTTTTTTTGTTTTTTTTTTTTGTATTTTTAGTAGAGACGGGGTTTCACCGTGTTAGCCAGGATGGTCTTGATCTCCCTACCTCGTGATCCGCCCACCTCGGCCTCCCAAAGTGCTGGGATTACAGGCGTGAGCCACTGCGCCCCACCCCATTTTGGTGTGATCTCAGCTCACTGCAACCTACCCCTCCCAAGTTCAAGTGATTCTCCTACCTCAGCCTCTTGAGTAGCTGGGATTACAGGGGTCTGCCACCACGCCTGGCTGATTTTCCTATTTTTAGTTGACACTGCATTTCACCAGGTTGGCCAGGCTGGTCTTGAACTCCTGACCTCAGCTGATCCACCCGCCTCGGGCTCCCAAAGTGTTGGGATTACAGGTGTGAGCCACCACACCAGGCCCATATTTTCTTTTAGACATGCAGGCAATGTTGTGGTTTGTTGTTAAGATGTCTTAATATTCCTCTTCCCAGGCTCTGAAACCTAGTGTGAAGGTATATGCTGCTGAACCCTCAAATGCAGATGACTGCTACCAGTCCAAGCTGAAGGGGAAACTGATGCCCAATCTTTATCCTCCAGAAACCATAGCAGATGGTGTCAAATCCAGCATTGGCTTGAACACCTGGCCTATTATCAGGGACCTTGTGGATGATATCTTCACTGTCACAGAGGATGAAATTAAGGTGAGGCTCCAGCAAGAAAAGAAATAGCAAAGCATGGTGTAACTTCTTAGGCAGAAGAAACTTCCCTTAGGAGTAGCAAGTGACCCACGGGAACCTGACTAGGTAACTTCATGACATGGGAGGGTACCCTAGATGTATTAATGACAACCCTCTTGACAGAAGCAGAGTCAGAATTAAAGAAAAGCTTTGGGAAGCGTGTGTACACAGTGATAAGAAAATTCAAACTGGACACGTATTCTCATCTGAACTTTATAGGTAAACCAACTAGACTCCCCTTTCACTAATTCCTACTCCCTTCCATATCAACAGTGTGCAACCCAGCTGGTGTGGGAGAGGATGAAACTACTCATTGAACCTACAGCTGGTGTTGGAGTGGCTGCTGTGCTGTCTCAACATTTTCAAACTGTTTCCCCAGAAGTAAAGAACATTTGTATTGTGCTCAGTGGTGGAAATGTAGACTTAACCTCCTCCATAACTTGGGTGAAGCAGGCTGAAAGGCCAGCTTCTTATCAGTCTGTTTCTGTTTAATTTACAGAAAAGGAAATGGTGGGAATTCAGTGTCTTTAGATACTGAAGACATTTTGTTTCCTAGTATTGTCAACTCTTAGTTATCAGATTCTTAATGGAGAGTGGCTATTTCATTAAGATTTAATAGTTTTTTTTGGACTAAGTAGTGGAAAAACTTTTATACTTAACTGAGACATTTTGTCAAGGCTAAAAAAAAGTCTTGCAAAATGGGGCAGTGGACTGACAGGCTGACATAGAAAATAAACTTTGCCCAATCACAACTTGTGCCTCCCATCCCTGGAGTACTGACTGGCACCGGTAAGACAGAATCTCTTTGAATCCATTACTCCATGCCCCCTTGAGGCACTGTTGAAGAAATCTCACTTTTCAGCCAGGGTACTGGTTCTGGTACATATGGATCATAAGTCCATTTGGGGAAGACTCGTTTATACAGGTTCATCAGTACTGTGTCTTGAGATTTTAGCTTCCCATCAAAGCTGCATTTCATGTGGCCATGGGTACCTAGAAAGACATCAGAACAAGTCGGTCAAATTAAAAGTAGAAAATTTTAAAGCAATGACTTCCAACCCAACAGTCATTTAGCAACACTGCAGAAATGCAGACATGGTCTCAAATCCCGTGTTTCCTTACCTAAAGGTTCCTTGATATGTCCTCTCCGGCCCCACTTCGTTCTCAGTTCCACTGGTTTAAACCACAGCACATCCTCTTAGAATCAAACACATTAAAGACCAAGATGAAACATTTACCCACAAAATGTAAACCCAACCTTTATACCACAAAGGCAATCAGATCCCATCCTCCTCCTTCATACCCACCTCTGTTGAAGAACATGTAACGTACTACTGCCATCTTAGTAAAAATTTTGAAAGGATGACCACTCAGAACAACTCTCTTGATGACCATTCTGTCTGGATCTACTGACATAAGATGGCCTGTAGCAATGAGGCTGTGCATTCCTAAAGGACAAAAGCAAAGAAGCTATTTAGGAATTTACAGGCCAAAGTCTTCATTTATTGCCCAGTCCATTTAAAGACCCATGCAAGAGCCTGGTTTGTCATCCCTGCCCTAGCCCAATCTGAGGCTAAGATTGGTAAACTGTAAGCCCACACTTAACCTTGTCAATAGGTTCTTGAAAACTTGTACTTCAAGAGAAATGATGTATAACAAAACCATACTTTTTCTCATCAGTTGTTACAAGGAAAGGATGTTGAACAAAAGGCAGTTATTTGAGGACTGGCTATACACTGTTTCACGTAAAAGTTGGAGTTTTCATTGTTCTATTAACAATGTTAAATGAAGACTTACTGTATTTTGAAAACCATCATTACCTTCTCCATACCATTTGGCTCCCAAATTTAAATAAACAAGAGAAAACGGTGTTCATCTATTAAGGACCTGCAGGGTCTGTTCATCTCTGTGGCTCAACTTACCATTGCTTTTTTGCTTGAAAAGCAGCACAGATGCAGGAGGAAAAGTGATTGGCGCATAGACTGTCGCCACCAGGGCCATGTCAGCAGTCAGGAATCTCTGCAATTTATGTTTGTCCGCTGCCATAAGGGTTAAAAAATGAAAAGCAAAACCATTTTGAGAAACCAGAGGTGATAGAGGCCTGTGAAAAGCTGTATTAGTGCAACTCTTAAACCTATGGCAGCTTCTACTTCTCTAAACCACCAGTTCTCAAAAATTTTCGCTGCCTCAATGCACCTAAAAGATACGATCTAGTCCTATCAGTAACTTTTTTTTTTTCTTTTTTTTTGAGTTTGAGTATCGTTCCTGTCACCCAGGCTGGAATGCAATGGTGTGATCTCAGCTGACTGCAACCTCTGCCTCCCGGGTTCAAGCAGTTCTCCTGCCTCAGCCTCCTGAGTAGCTGGGATTACAGGCACATGCCACCACGCCCGGCTAATTTTTGTATTTTTAGTAGAGACCGGGTTTCACCATGTTGGCCAGGCTGGTCTCGAACTCCTCACCTTGTGATCCACCCACCTCAATCTCCCAAAGTGCTGGGATTACAGGCGTGAGCCACCGCGCCAGGCTGTATCAGTAACTTTTTATTTATTTATTTATTTTGAGATGGTGTCTCGCTCTTGTTGCCCAGGCTGGAGTACAATGGTGCCATCTCTGCTCACTGCAACCTCCACCTCCCAGGTTCAAGTGATTCTTCTGCCTCAGGCTCCCGAATAGCTGGAATTGCAGGTGCCTGATCAGTAACTTTTTTATCTGGAGTCAGAATCTTGGAGCCTAGACTGTATTTGATGTTCTACCTTCAAGGTAGCCCTCACCTCCTTTTTAAAATACTAAACTTAAAGGAAAATAAAATATTTTAAGGCAAAGAAAAATTAATCTCACTTAGAGATTGTGATTCTCACAATTGGTGAGAATAAAAATTATCCAAAACACCATTAATACTGCTTTCTTCATATTCCTCCTGCCACTGCTGAGAGTGAGTGAACTAGGACGATGTTCAGAAGCCCCCAAGTTAGTGGGCAACATATCTTCCTGCTCCTACTGTGTAGGAGACAATCATTTCTGCTGCAAGTCCCGTCCAGTAGTCTCTCAGTATCTCAGGACCCCTACCTCTGCTTTACCCAACTATGAGCCATACCCAGCCTCCATTCCTTCACCCACACTGCCCTTGGCACACTAGACATCAAAGTTTCCACACTTTATCACACCCTTTTAAATTCTGAGAGACAGTGTCTCACTCTGCTATCTAGGCTAGACTGTATTTGGTGTTCTACCTTCAATGTAGCCCTCACCCCCCTTTTAAAAATACTAAACTTATAGGAAAATAAAATATTTTAAGGGCTGTGGTGTGAACACAGCTCACTGGAGCCTCAAACTCCTGGGCCCACTGGCTCAGGCAATCCCTCTTGCCTCAGCCTCCCAAGTAGCTGGGACTGCAAAGCACATGCCACCACACCTGGCTAATTAAAAAGAAAAATTTTTGGCCGGGCGCAGTGGCTCATGCCTGTAATCCCAGCACTTTGGGAGGCCAATGCGGGTGGATCACCTGAGGTCGGGAGTTTGAGACCAGCCTGGCCAAGATGGTGAAACTCTATCTCTACTAATAATAGAAAAATTAGCTAGGCATGGTGGTACACGCCTGTAATCCCAGCTGCTTGGGAGGCTGAGGCAGGAGAATCACTTGAACCTAGGAGGCAGAGGTTGCAGTGAGCCAAGATCCTGCCACTGCACTCCAGCCTGGGCAACAAGAGTGAAACTCCATCTCCCAAAAAAAAAAATTTTTTTTTCGTAGAGGCCGGGCATGTTGGCTCATCCCTATAAATCCCAGCACTTTGGGAGGCCAAGGCACGTGGATCACCTGAGGTCAAGAGTTTGAGAACAGACTGGCCAACTTGGTGAAACCCCATCTCTACTAAAAATACAAAAAGTAGCTGGGCGTGGTGGCAGACACCTATGGTCCGAGCTACTTGGGAGGCTGAGGCGCCAGAATCACTTGAACCTGGGACGGGGAGGCTGCAATGAGCTGAGATCATGTTACTGCACTCCAGCCTTGGTGACAGAGTTGGACTCTATATCAAAAAAAAAAAAAAAAAAATTGTAGAGACCGGAGTCTCACACTCCTGACCTCAAGCGATCCTCCTGCCTCAGTCTCTGCAACTGAGACTTTTATTTAGTTCCAGTTCTAAGGATCTGCCTTTACAAAATAAGCAAAGAAGTAAATAAAGTTTTATGCATACAGATCTAGTTTAGAGCAAAACATTAGAAATAGCCTAAGTGCTCACCCGTAGAAGCTCAAATAAGTATCAGTACATCACATACACTGGAATATATCCAAATGACAATAAAGCATTAAAAGTCTCATTAACTAATTAATCTTATGGAAAATTGATCAAAATCAATTAAGTGATAAATGCAATGTTTAACACCATATTTACAATTACAATCCAAATTGTGTAAAGAAAAAAAATGAGATCTGGATGAAAATGTATAAAATAAAAATGAATTTTCTCTAATATAAGGTAATTTTACTTTTACATTATTCCTTATTTTCCCAACTGTATAAAATATGAAAATAGTTCATCCTAAAAAAAAAAATCAAAACCATTTTGAAACAATAAAAGAATGACTGGCCAGGCGCAGTGGCTCACGCCTGTAATCCCAGCACTTTGGAAGGCCAAGGCAGGAGGATCGCCTAAGGTCGAGACCAGCCTGGCCAGCATGGTGAAACCCCGTCTCTACTAAAAATACAAAAATTAGCTAGGCGTGGTGGCGGGTGCCTGTAATCTCAGCTACTCGGGAAGCTGAGGCAGGAAAACTGATTGAACCTGGAAGGCAGAGGTTGCAGTGAGCCTGGATTGCACCATTGCACTCCAGTTGAGCATCAGAGTGAGACTCGGTCTCAAAAAAAAAAAAAAAAAAAAAGAGGCCAGGCACATTGGCTCATGTCTGTAATCCCAGCACTTTGGGAGACCGAGGTGGGCGGATCACCTGAGACCAGGAGTTCAAAACCAGCCTGAACTCCTGGTCTTGGTGAAACCCCATCTCTACTAAACCCCAACATGGTGAAACCCCATCTCTACTAAAAATACAAAAATTAGCTGGGCATGGTCGTGCATGCCTGTAGTCCCAACTACTCTACTCGGGAGGCTGAGGCAGGAGAATTGCTTGAACCCGGGAGGCGGAGGTTGCAGTGAGCCGAGATCACGCTATTGCACTCCAGCCTGGGCAACGGAGTAAGACTCCGTCTCCAAAAAAACAAACAAACAAACAAACAAAAAAAAACAAAAAAAACAAGAGGGGGCGCGGTGGCTCACACCTGTAATCCCAGCACTTTGGGAGGCTGAGGCGGGCGGCTCACGAGGTCAGGAGATAGAGACCATCCTGGCTAACACGGTGAAACCCCGTCTCTACTAAAAATACAAAAAATTAGCTGGGCATGGTGGCGGGCGCCTGTAGTCCCAGCTACTTGGGAGGCTGAGGCAGGAAAATGGTGTAAGTAAACCTGAGAGGCGGAGCTTGCAGTGAGCCTAGATCGCGCCACTGCACTCCAGCCTGGGCGACAGAGTGAGACTCCGTCTCAAAAAAAAAAAAAAAAAAAAAAAAAAAACAGAAACAAAAACAAGATTAAATCTTACCTTTTTTGGTCTTCAATTCCCCGTTCTAATGCCACAAGTGTTGGGATTACAGGTGTGAACCACTGCACCACTGCACCCACCCTAATACCCTTTTTATAAAGCTGCCAACTTCTATTCAAAACCTGCTATGGAACAAATACTCATGGCAAAAAAGCCTCAGTATCACACAGAAGTTGCATCACTGGGATGCTTCAGACAGGTTCAGACATTTTGAATAAAAACATCATTGGCTCTTAAGCCAGAGTACTGAAAATACCTCTAACCCAGAGATGTAAGATTTTGAAACCATATATTTTGGCACCCCTCCACCACAAGTCACTTTCCCAAAAGACAAGATGGACAAGAACCCAGCTTCCCCATTGCTAACCTGCAGTGTGCTGAGAGAATAAAGGTGAGGCTCGGAAGCGCCTGAATCCACAGTGAAATATGAGCTCTTCCTTGGCTTTCACAGGTTCAGTGTTGCCAGGGTCACGCCTCACCACCATATTCAATACTGACATCTGGGGACCAAGTAAGAAAAACAAAAATCTTCATAGTCTAGGAATACAATTGCCTAAACTGAAAGAAGGCAAACCAAACTAGCAGATTCAGACTCATTCTAAGAACTGACAATGCTAATTAATGGTGGAGTGTAGATGCTGAAACACGGGTTCATCCTTTACCTCCACCAATGACTGGCATTTAAGCCAAACACAGGCTGATCAGAGCTTTCATGCACCCTTCAATGCTAACCTACCTTCCTGCACCTAACAGAAAAGAGCTCAACATCTGCCACACAAAAATCAGTGGCCTTCAAGGCATTCACTCACCACAATCTCAAAACCACACTCATTCAAGCCCCTTCTTCTTGAGCCCTTACCAAAACCGATCAAAGAACTATCACATACCCCACAACATACACAACTACTGGCCACCAAGAGAAAAGAGATCTGCACTTTGGCATAAACTTTTTTTTTTTTTGACATAAGAGTTTCGCTCTTGTTGCCCAGGCTGGAGTGCAATGGTGCAATCTTGGCTCACCACAACCTCCGCCTACTGGGTTCAAGCAATTCTTCTGCCTCAGCCTCCCAAGTAGCTGGGATTACAGGCATGTGCCACCACGCCTGGCTAATTTTGTATTTTTGGTAGAGACAGGGTTCCTCCATGTTGGTCAGGCTGGTCTCGAACTCCCGACCTCAGGTGATCCACCCACCTTGGCCTCCCAAAAAGTGCTGGGATTACAGGCGTGAGCCGCCGCGCCCAGCCAAACCTTTATTTTTAAGGCTGCCAACCCTTATTCAAAATCTGGTCTGAAAAACATACTTGGAGAAGTCTCAGAACCACACAGAGATTGCATCACTGAGATGCTTCAGACAGGTTCAGACGATATGAATAAAACCATCATTGACTTCTCTATTATTCTCCAATTCCTAATCATAAAGGCAGACTTTTTGCATCCCAATGAGCAAAATTTTAGTCACACATAAACAGAATTTTAGACTGTCAGAAGCAGCTGGAAAGTTTCACAACCCCCCATTTTCCCACAAGACAGCAATTTACCTTCTGTTCATGAGGTAGTAAAGAAAATGCAATCAAGGGTGTTCCTTGCCTGAAGCACTCGACCACTGAGACGGGGACTTCAGAGACATGAAGTGTGACATACCAGCCAACCTGCCACAAGAAAGCAGAAAGCAATCATGGAGTTACCTTTCAAAGTCCCAATAGCGAGGAAGCTTTCTCCAAATATGTTGAGTCTCTCAGATAAAATTTTTAAAGCCAACCCTCATCCTTCAAGATGCTTCATTTACCCAGATCACACTTTTTCATTTAACATAGCTGATACCTCTTTGTTCCCAGTATCATTCTAATCAATGACTCAGGGGCTCCCCTAATCCCCAAATGCAGCATATTTTCATGCCAAGAGAAGGAATAAAGTAGGGAGCATGTTGACAAATGAAAGCAACATACAAGATGAACAAGGAGGATAGATACCTCAGCTCCTTCAACCTCTTTTTCTTCAACCTCTTTAAAGATGCTTTTCCTAGTGTTAGTAAAGTTCTGAAACTGAAATATTCGAGCATAATCTTGAGGAAGGTTTTCCTTAGGATCCCATGGAGATGTCCGGAAGCTCTTAAGGCCTCTGTATTTCTGAAATCTAGAATATTGAAGATTTTTAAAGACATTAAGTCAGATTTATATGGTGCTATATAGACTCAAGTCACTGCTAAAATGGCTAAGGAGCTAGCTGAAAAGAACTCCAATCATCCTCTCTCCAAACAACCCAACAGCTTAAACCAAGACGACACTCCGAACAGCTTATAACAAGTTCTATCGGAACCAAACCCAAGCTTCTCACTGACAAAAAAGATGCTTGGTAATGGCCTGATACAGTTCAGATGTGTCTCCCTGCCCCAATCTCATACTGAAATACAATCCCCAGTGTTGGAGGTGGAGCCTGGTGGGAGGTGACTGCATTAGGGGAGAGGTTTTCTCATGAGTGGGTTAGCACCACCCTCCTTGTTGAGTGAGTTCTCATGAGATCTAGTTGTTTAAAGTGTGTAGCACCTCCTGCCTTGCTCTCGTTACTGCGCTGGCCGTGTGACATGACTTGCTCCCCCTCCACCTTCTGCCATGATTGTAAGTTTCTTGAGGACACCCCCAGAAGCTGAGCAGATGCCAACACCATGCTTCCTGTACAGTCTGCAGGACCATGACCCAATTAAATCTCTTTTCTTTATAAATTATGCAGTCTCTGGTACTTCTTTATAGCCATGCGAGAATGGCCTAATACATAGCCTTACCTCCTAATATCCAAAATTAATTCACTGGCTTTAGTCACTCACCTCCAGAACAGATATAATCATCTACTTCTTCACTCTTCTACTTCTGCTATTCTACCCAAACCCCCTAAAATTTCCAAACATTATATACTTCAATTGAGTACTGGCTCCTTTGGGAAGAAGTATTTGCTAATTAACCTTAGTATTTCCCCTTCATTCAAGTCCTGTAACGTGAGTCTGCACCACAGTCTAGAACTTAATTACATATGACCATTTCCCGTATGTATGTCCTGCCTTCCCATATTAAATGTTAGCTCTTCAGGAGCAGAAAAAATGTGTTTTTCTTCTTTTGCATCACAGTGACACAGCTCTGAGCCAAGTTTTTAAAAACGTATTGACTGAATTTAGATTTGTTGATAGACTTGTTGACTAACCGAATTCGAGCAGCCACATCACGGGGCGTGTCCACTTCATCTGGAAACATCTCTTCCAGTCTTTCTTGTTTATATTTCTCCAACATTTTTGCCTCAGCTTCTTCATCTACTTTCTTATCATACAGATCATCATGCACAGACTCCCCAATAGTCATAGTTTCATATTCTTCCTCTTCTTCACTACTCTCATCCTGTAGAATAGGATTACAGTTTTTTCAGAAGAAATCCACACCTGTCTCTACCCCAAAGGCCAATAAGCTAAGAGTAAAATAATTGTACTAGATCCCTATTCCCAACCAACATAAATTCTAATACAGTCTAAAGTATAAAACAAAAGCCTCATTCCTGGCAACTACAGAGTCATTCCTAAGAAACTAACCATACACGGCCGGGTGCGGTGGCTCACGCCTGTAATCCCAGCACTTTGGGAGGCCAAGGCAGGCGGATCATGAGGTCAGGAGATTGAGACCATCCTGGCTAACACAGTGAAACCCCGTCTCTACTAAAAATACAAAAAAATTAGCCAGGCATGGTGGTGGGCGCCTGTAGTCCCAGCTACTCAGGAGGCTGAGGCAGGAGAATGGCGTGAACCCAGGAGGGAGAGCTTGCAGTGAGCCCAGATCGCACCACTGCACTCCAGCCTGAGCAACAGAGCAAGACTCCGTCTCATAAAAAAAAAATAAAAAAAATAAAAAAAAGAAACTAACCACACACACCCATCAAGATCACACCTGCACTTTGCCTTACATTTGGAGCTAGACACAGAATTGGCCTAAGGCCTCATTTCCTTACCTGAGATTCCTCCTCCATAAAATCCTCATGTTCCATATCATCATATTCATATTCATCTCCTTCCCCACCACTTTGGCTGCCACCATCCAAAATCCATTCAGCTTGGTAACTGGATGTTCCTTTGGGGACCTTCTTTACCACCTTAGAACTTTCCTTCAAGAAATCTGTAAAAGCCCAAACAAATTAAGTAAATTACAGACTTCTTTTCCCTATCCCTCTGGTTATTCTCACCTAGGCAAGGCACCAGATACTGCTGCCAACATGGGAAATTCTGGCAGACACTGTAAATAGAACTACTTCCAAATTTAATTCAGCTGCCTCACAACTAGCAATACTTACACAGCTAAATAAGCCCTGCAATGAATCCAAAGTTGTTTATCTGTTCATGATAAAACATTAACACAAGTAATTTTGAGAAATGGAACAAGACTGTGTATAATGTTTGTTTATTGAAAACATACAGCATTTGAGGGTGAGGAGAGACTTTCAACTATACCCCCACCCCACTCTATCCTATAGGGCCCTCACTTGGAACAGCTACAGAAAATCCACAATTCCAGGTCAGATGAATTACAGACAAGTTTACCAATACTGACCCTTTGCCTCGCTCAGCTCCTCCTCAGTGGGCCAGGTTTGCTCTCCCTCCATTGGATCTGGGATAACCTCTGCTTGCAAGGATTCCTGTCTACCAGGGTCTGCCTTCATTAGGACTTTAAGACCTTCTTCCATATCATCTACAGCATCCGTAGCACAAATCTGAAAACCAAAAGCAGGTGATAGTCAACCATGAACCAAAAATCTCCTAAATCTAACACAGTAACCAGAAAGACCCAGAAATATCAGTCCTCATGTATAAGATGAGTGCGACAGAATGCTAAAACTTGTCAAAACTTTTCCAATGGCTGTTTTCTAATTTCCAGGGTATTTTAAGTCTCTGCTTGGCTCTTGAGGTCTTTCTTAATCTGCTCCCACTCCTATCCATTTATTACGTACCTCACTCCCATCAAGCTGATTTCTTCAAGGTTCACATAAACCCTTTGATCCACCACTGTGCCTAGGTTCATTCTGTCTCTTATCTTCTAGGATATTCTTTTATCCCTCTTCAACTCATAAATCACATTTATCCTTCTCAACACCTAGCTCAAGTCTGATCTCTTATGTGAAGCTTGCTAGTCTACTTTCTCAACTTCCACTGCTGGTCCGCACTCTAACCATATGCTATCTCAATCTTTATTTCACACATGCCATTTTGTTCCAGCCCAATTAAGTCCCTTGAGGAAAGCAACCACATCTTGAGTGTGTTCTATAAACTCAGAGCCAATCACAGTGCAGACTACCTAGAAAGTGCTGGATAAATATGTGATTTATCAACCTATTTATAACTGACTATTGCCTTACTTCAGACTAGCAGTCTCCTCATTCACCTAAGTGTACAGACTATCTTCTCTGAATTTAAGTTTCCTTCCTGTGCCAACTTTCATATGAACATGAATTAAGAATATCAGTCTTACCTCCATTGCCATGTCTGGGTCCTTTTGGGGTTTAATTCCTCTAGGATTTAAAGGGAAAGGGTCTCCGGGGGCATCTATCTGTTTCATCTGGAAATCACCATATCCAACGATATGCAGCAACCTATTGACATTCAGAGTCTGCCCTCGAACATAGCCTGAAATTTTCAAGGTGCCCACCAAGTTATTCTCTTCACTAGGAACAAAATCAACAGCATGGGCAAATAGGTAGGCCCGCCGATCTCGAAAAGCAAGATGCTGTTGCTTCTGGTTAGCCAACTGCCTAAGCAGCATCCCTGCCTCCTGTTGAGTGTCTAACAAGAGGAGTTTGTCATGCGGAAAGCGCTTCTCCACTGCTTTACTTAGCTTCTTCCTGGTATCTATTTGTTTCTTCAGTGGGAGGCCAGAAATCCCCTGGACAGCTAGTGCTGTAAGCGAAAGAGAAAACGCTTCATGACCTACTGCTTCATTACATAAAAATCCCTCTGCAGTTCACAAACAACCTAATAGCTCAGTTGCAAGCCCAGAGATCACTGGGAAGCCCAACACTGAACTACCCTGAAGGAATTTCACAGTGAAATCAAACTTCATATCCTTGTTTCTCTGGGCAAAGGACAGCCAAAAACAAAAAGACACCCTGAGTGATAATCTGTAAACAATGGATCAAGTTTAATCCATATGTGTACATCCCACCACCAGCTGAATATGATCCATCAGTTGTATTCCTGTATCAAATACCAGGCATAGTGCCTGACAAATTAAAGGTGCACAATAAATGCTAACTCACTTACTATAGGTCGGAAGGCCCTGAGCAAAGAGGCAGGAAAGACAGTAATCACCGGTGCTGTCCCAGCCTTCTAGTGGATCAAGGAGGAACAGGATGGTATCAGCTACTTTAGCCATGTCTAACACAACGTGCAGATCCCCTGCAGATAGAAGACACAGTAAGAAGAGGTGGTTGGCACCAGCACATTATTCTAAAAAAAAAAAAAAAAAATACCACTACTCAAACATAATACAAAATATTGGTGTATACTCTAACCTGGCCTTGCTGAGGTGAAAAACCACCGATGTTTCAAGCGGGGGCACAGCAGCATAAAGTTCTGGGTGTTTCCCAATTCATTCAAGTGTACTGTTCCAGTGTCCCTATCTTGAAGCAGCTGCATGGCCTCTGGCAGGGAAATTCTGCTGTGCAGGGGCACCACCAGTACCTGATGAGGAGGGCCATCCTTGCCACCCAGCTGTCTCTTCTCTGCCAGAACCTGAAAATAGAAAGATATCCGAGAACATCTCAGTGTCTCAGTACTTCACTCCAGCATTGCATTTCCACTCCCACAGATGCTCCCCCTACCCAAAACCAGCATCTCTCTAGTAAAAGACCACAGGTATGCCAGCGGGGTGGCAGGAATTCTGACCAAAGCAAAGAATGCTAGACCTGCACGCTCGACACGTGCTCTAGGGCTATGCTCTGTCCCTGGACCCTCCTCCCGGTCTCATTTTCCACTTCGAGGCATTAGCCACCTAGAACACCAGAGAAGCCGCATTCTCCCAAATCCCGCTCCTCTCACCGCCTCCTTCTTCTGCTTTCGGAGCTGGCTGGCGCGATGCCTCTGGTCGACTCTGCTGAGTTCTTTTCTCACCTTCTTGCTTAGGGTTTTCAGTGCCAGACGGCCTGAATGGCAGATTAGAAGGGGCTGGTGTGATCGGCCCCACAAGGTCAAGAAAAGGGACTCCTCTCCGCCCACCTTAGAAAGGGCCTTTCGCGTGGAGCCCAGACGGGAGACAGAAGCTCAGTCTGGGCATGAGGAAAAAGAGTTAATAACGGCCAAATAGCCCTTATTCCTTCTACGTTATCTCCTTACCCTTGCCGTCCCGCTGTGCAGATCCCCGACCCCGATGCCGTCCGCCTTTATGAGCTTTATTCTGCTGCTTGAGCGGGCCGGGGCGGTGGGCCGCCATGCCGCAGCGCGCGTGTACGGAGTCAGCACTGCTTCCGGGCCAGGACAAGCGCTTCCGGTCCCCTCCAAGGGGGCGGGCCCTCCAGGGAGCGGGACTCCCTGCGCCCTCTCGCGAAGGTCTTTTCCAGCAGCTCGTGAGAGCGCCGTGTTAGCGGGTTCGCCAAGCCGCGCTGGGAACTTTTCCCACTTCGCAGTGTGTGGTTGGGGGCTTGAAGGCGCCGGATGTAGACTGTCGAGGCTCGGGCTGTTGGTCTAGCAGGGCTGTTTGTACCCCTTGCATTGTCATTTTTTTGCGCTATAAAGCTGCATCACGTAGAAGCATGTTGACTGGAAGGCTCCATTCGTGCCGAAAAGGCCTAAGCCCTTCCTGTCACCTAGATTCGGGCACGTTGCTCTTCCGTTTGCAACGGCATGTTCTTTATCACTCTGAGCAACCTTTCTTCTCCCTCGATTCCCTAGCGAGGCTTGGGAATCGCGTGGAAGACACTTCTCTCACCTTGCCCGGTTCCGTACCAGCTCAAGCCCGTCCCTGTTACTCCAACCTGCGCCCCGCCTCCCACGGAGCGGCCGGGAAGGACCTTGTGGGACGTGGCGACCCGGCAAGGGGGACTGGCCGCGACCCTCCGGCCGTCGGGCTCGGGCGGCTGCGCTCCCACTAATCTTCCCAGAAACTTGACAACTGCACGGCGACGGCCGGACGGGGATTCAGAGGGGTCACGGGGCCAGGCTGCACCGGCTTCGCCGTGGGCAGGCTCGGACCGCAGGGGACCCCATGCCCGAGCCCCGGCCCTTTCCGTCCCGTCGGGAGAGGGAGCAGGCAGAAGTCAGGGGAGCTTCAGCGGGACCGAGGCTCGCTCTCAGCCGCGGGGCCGCGGGCTCCAGGGCCAGCGCTCACAATGCGGCTTCGCGCCCTCCATGCGGGAGCGGGTGCGTTGCCATGACAGCGACCCCCGTGGCGCGCGCCCGGGTCTGCCGCCCCTAGGCGCGCACGGCCTCTCCCCGCCCCGATCCCCCGTCGCTGTGCGCAACCCCCCTCCGGCTGTGGGAAGGGGCCGGGCCTGCCGCCTGACGTCTGTGCGGGGCTCGGAAGATGGCTGCGGAGCCGAGCACCGGGCAGTGGCTGCGGCGGCGGCGGCGGCGGCGGGCCGGGAGCGCGGCGGGCGGGGGCTCCGCCTTGCGCGTGGGGCGCTGAGCCGAGAGGCGCGGAGGCGGCGAGGGCGCGGGGGCTCTGAGGACCGCTCGGCGCCGCCTCCTGCCACACCATGGGCAGCGCAGAGGACGCAGTCAAAGAGAAACTGCTGTGGAACGTGAAGAAGGAGGTAAAGTCGAGTCAAGAACCCCGGGGGGCTCGCGCCCTGGCCCGCGCGGCCCAGGGGGCAGAAAGGTCCGCGCCCACCCCCCGGCGCGGGCACCCGGGCCGAACCTGGGCCGGGCGGGGCGGGTCCTGGACGGGCTGCGCCTCCTTCCCCTTTCTCGGATGGGGGAGGGCAGCGCCCCTCTGCCCGGGGGACCCGGCCGGCGCTCCCGGCTTGTTTGCTTCGCAGCCCCGCAGCTCCCCGCCCAGTGACGGCAGCGGCGCTGGGAGCCCAAGGCCGGGGGAGGGGTGGCGGCGATGGCGGGGATGGCTGGATCCGGAGCTGCCCATTCAGTGCCCGCGCCGCCAGGGGAGGGGGCGGGGCCCCGCGCGAGCTCCCGCGGCGCAGGTGGGTGTCGTGCGGGCCGAGCTTCCCCACGTCCTAAGTGGGTGTCGTGCGGGCTGAGCTCCCCCTTGTCCGACGTCCGCTGTGCCTCCAGCTACGGAGTGATCGCTGCCGGAGGGGTGCGCCGCACACCTCAGTTTCTCCCTCCACGCCCACCTCCTTAGCCAGGGACCAGGGGCTTGTTTGGAATGGTTTTTAACACTCGGAAGTTTTTCCCTTTTGAGGGAAGCCCCCCTACTTCAGAAAGAGAAGTAGTCCTTCCCTCTACTAACTCCGTTTACCTTGACCCTGCCCAAAAGCCCATTTCCATTTCGGGTGGGGGGCAGTGACCATGTGAATGACTCACTCCCATATGAGAGCTGGAGAGCTCCAACCCACAGCGCAGCTTAGAATACATTGGGCCTCCTTCCCCTGCCTGCCTCTGTGGCTGTTGTCTGCCTGGTAAGTAAACTCCACCAGGGCAGGAGACCCTCTGTTTTGTCCACTGCCTTGTATCCAGTGCCTGGCATACTGTAGGCACTCCGTGACTGTTTGGTAAATAAATGTGCTGATTTTGGAGACTTCGAGGCCTGGTGTTTGGAAAGCATACATTTTGGAATAGTCTGGACCTAATTCTGTGTGACCTTGAGTCTCTATGCCGTCTCCCTAATATATATATATATAACCTCACGCCTGTAATCCCAGCACGTTGGGAGGCCTAGGTGGGTGGATCACCTGAGCTCAGGAGTTCGAGATCAGCCTGGCCAATATAGTGAAACCCCGTCTCTACTAAAAATACCAAAATAAGCCAGGGGTGGTGGTGCGTGCCTGTAATCCCAGCTACCCGGGAGACTGAGGCAGGAGAATCGCTGGAACCTGGGAGGTGGAGATTGCAGTGAGCCGATATTGTGCCACTGCACTCCAGCCTGGGCGACAGAGTGAGACTCCGTCTCAAAAAAAAAAAAGTTTACCTTAGCTGAGCCGTAATTAGAGTTTCAGGGTTGGGGAAGCGTCTGGACTCTCATAACATCCTGGAAAGTGGACAGGCGCGGTGGCTTACGCCTGTAATCCCAGCACTTTGGGAGGCTGAGGCGGGTAGATCACGAGGTCAGGAGTTCCAGACCAGCCTGGCCAAGATGGTGAAACCCCATCTCTACTGAAAAAAACAAAAAATACAAAAATTAGCCAGGCACAGTGGTGGGCACCTGTAATCCCAGCTACTCGGGAGGCTGTGGCAGGAGAATCGCTTGAACCCAGGAGGTGTGGTTGCAGTGAGCCAAGATCGAACCACTGCAGTCTAGCCTGGGCGACAGAGCAACTCTCCGTCTAAAAAAGAAAGCTGGGCATGGTGGCTCACGACTGTAATCCTAGCACTTTGGGAGGCTGGGACGGGCGGATCACGAGGTCAGGAGATCGAGACCATCCTGGCTAACACGGTGAAACCTCTCTCTACAAAAAATTAGCTGGGCGTGGTGGCGGGCGAATGTAGTCCCAGCTACTTGGGAGGCAGGAGAATGGCATGAACCCGGGAGGCAGAGCTTGCAGTGAGCCCAGATCGTGCCACTGCACTCCAGCCTGGGCGACAGAGCAACACTCCATCTCAAAAAAAAAAAAAAAAAAAGTCCCGGAAATCTCTAGATGGTTCTCATGCGTTAGCCATGGCCTGGCTACTAGGCCCTAATGTTTGTTCCCACCCCTCCCCTTGGTAAAGATGTAGTTGAAGCCATCAGCTTTCCCGCTTGTGGGAGAAGCTTCATTATGTCTTTGCTGTGAAGAGGCCCAAAAAAGGATTTCTTAGGCCAGGGGTGTATCAAGTCAGCATTTAAGCCCAATTCTGCTCTCCCCAATGAAAAGAGAAATCTTGATTCTCCTGCAAAAGGAAGCAGTCTAGTGACAGAGACTTGAACAGTGTAAACAAAATAGAAAAGTACTTGTGTCTACACTTGAGGTGGATATGCTGGGATTATAGATATGGCTCAATTTTGGAGGTTAGTCACAGATAATGGGAAATACTTTTTTTTTTTTTTGGAGACGGAGTCTTGCTCTGTCGCCAGGCTGGAGTGCAGTGGTGCGATCTCAGCTCACTGCAACCTCCAGCTCCTGGGTTCAAGCGATTTCCCTGCCTCAGCCTCCCAAGTAGCTGGGACTACAGGCACATGCCACCACACCCAGCTAATTTTTCGTATTTTAGTAGAGATGGGGTTTCACCATGTTGGCCAGGATAGTCTCGATCTCCTGACCTCGCCTTGGCCTCCCAAGGTGCTGGGATTACAGGCATGAGCCACTGCGACCGCCAGGAAATATTTTTTAAGAGGATGATGACTTTTTCCACCAGTGCTTAGAAACTGGACTATACTGCTCCAAAAGTGATTCCTAAGAAAATGTGAGAAATGTCAGAATATGCCACAGCTACGTATCATTCCTGACAAAAGTTGACCTGCTCTGAACTCATGTTTCTCCTTTCCTCCTTCAGTGTTTGATTTCTTTTTTTTTTTTTGAGATGGAGTCTCGCTCTGTTGCCCAGGCTGGAGTGCCGTGGCGCCATCTCAGCTCACTGCAAGCTCCGCCTCCCGGGTTCACGCCTTTCTCCTGCCTCAGCCTTCTGAGTAGCTGGGACTACAGGCGCCTGCCACCACGCCCGGCTAATTTTTTGTATTTTTAGTAGAGACGGGGTTTCACCATGTTAGCCAGGATGGTCTCGATCTCCTGACCTCGTGATCCGCCCACCTTGGCCTCCCAAAGTGCTGGGATTATAGTCGTGAGCCACCACGCCTGGCCCAGTGTTTAATTTCTACAGAAACATCCTGTCCCTTCTGCAAGGAAAAACAACAGGAATATTGGTAGACCAGGCTGGCCTTTCACAAAGGACCACTGGTATAATTCTAGGGGTATCTGCAGATCCTTCAACCCAAAAATCCTCCCCATCAGCCTGCTTCAGATGCCTCCAGGTCTTTAGCTGTGACATTATCCTCTGTTGAATGCTAACATCCTTGGGAGGTAATCTAGGAAGTTTTTTTTGTTTGTTTGTTTGTTTTTTTGAGATAGAGTTTCACTCTTGTTGCCCAGGCTGGAGTGCGATCTCAGCTCACTGCAACCTCTGCCTCCGGGTTCAAGTGATTCTTCTGCCTCAGCCTCTTGAGTAGCTGGGATTACTGGCACCCACCACCATGCTTGGCTAATTTTTGTATTTTTAGTAGAAATGGGGTTTCACCATTTTGGTCAGCCTGATCCTCCCAAAGTGCTGGGATTACAGGCGTGAGCCACCATGCCCAGCCGTCTAGGAAGCTTTTAACAGCTTAGAGTGCATTTGCATTAATTGATCTGATCCCCTTTTACCTGAGCACTAACCATTAGCAGTTTCCGGCAGGGAGGGGCCTCCAGGTCCTTCTTCCCGCCTCCCCAGGCTTTTGAGGTTCTACCACCCTCCAAACTATACAGTCTTGACTAAGGGTCTTGGGAACCTGGACAGCATCAGAACATTACATTCCTGTCTAAAGAATGGGGAAGACTAGCTCTACCCAAGGCTCACTTTATGTGTAACATTCTGCACTAGGTAATCTCTATAATCTCCAGTACTAGGACTGCCTGCTAGCAGGTTCTCCCAGGACATCAACAGAGTTTGGGTTAAATGTTGGGAACCACCAGAACCTCATACATGGGAGTGTAAAGTGGTATAACCAACTTTGGAGAACAATTTGGCAATATCTAATAAAGTGTGTGCATCAGACATTCCTTGCCTAGAAACATAAATCCCAAACATTTGTTCACCAGAAGACAGTCCTCAATGTTCACAGCAGCAGTATCCATAACAGCCCCAAACTGGAAACCACCCAAACGCCGGGTGTTTGTACGTTCACACCACGGAGAGTGAACAACCTACAACTGTACACAACGCGCACGGAGAATGAACAATCTACAGCTATACACAACATGAACAAATTTCAGAATGACACAGGTGAGCAAAAGAAACTAGTCACAAAACACTACACGCTGAGTGATTCCACTTATAAAAAGTATAAAAACCCAGGCCGGGTGTGGTGGCGGCTCACACCTGTAATCCCAGCACTTTGGGAGGCCAACGCGGGTGGATCACCGAGGTCAGGAGTTCAAGACCAGCCTGGCCAACATGGAGAAACCCCGTCTCTACTAAAAATACAAAAAAAAAAAAAAAAGCCAGGTGTGGTGGTGCATGCCTGTAATCCCGGCTACTGTGGAGGCTGAGGCAGGAGAATCTCTTGAACCCGGGAGTTGGAGGTTGCAGTGAGCTGAGAACGCGCCACTTCACTCCAGCCTGGGCAAAAGAGCGAAACTCCATTTCAGAAACAAACAAACAAAAAAAGTATAAAAACCCACAAAACTGTCGTGTTGGAATCAGGAGAGTGGGTACCCTTAGGGGGAATAGTGACTAGAAGGGAAGGTGATGAGGCGAGGGTGTTGGTCACATGTTCTGTTTCTTGCTCTAGTTGCTGATTTCACAGGAGTGTTCAGTTTGTGAAAATTCACCACGCTGTGTAATTGTGATATGTTCTTTTATATGTTTACTGCACATCAGTTAAAAAGATTTCTTTTTAAGTGCTTTCTTAAAGAAATGACTGAGCACAGTGGCTCACGCCTGTAATCCCAGCACTTTGGGAGGCCGGGCGGGTGGATCACCTGAGGTCAGGCGTTCAAGACCAGCCTGACCAATATGGTGAAACCCCATCGTTACTAAAAATACAAAAATTAGCAGGGCGTGGTGGCATGCACCTGTTGTCCCAGCTACTCGGGAGGCTGAGGCAGGAGAATCGCTTGAACCCGGGAGGCAGAGGCTGCAGTGAGCCGAGATCACGCCACTGTACTCCAGCCTGGGCAACAGAGCGAGACTCCATCTCAAAAAAAAATGACTGTTTACCTTACAAGGTATTTGGGAACTTTTACATCCAGGTGGGAACCCCAAACATCAGAGTTCTAGACCCTAGATGGAAAGAAGGCTGGGCTTTTGAGCATGTAGAGGGTGTCCCTGAGGTATGAGACCTACCCCTAACCTTGGAGAATAGGGAGAAAAGGAGGAGGGGCAGGTTGTTTATCTGCAGGCTGTACCGAGATGGTTTGTCTCTAAAGGACAGTATATCTGCCCAGAAGCCCTTCGTGAGCTGAGAACAGATGAGCAAACAGCATCCTATTCCTGTTCTCCAAGGCAGGGCACTTCCACCTGGGCTGGAACATGCACTGATTGTTTGATGGGTTTTTGGCATCTCTTTCCCTGGTTTCCCCTCCAAAAGACTGGAATCAGACTGTGCTGAAGAAACTTTGCTTCCCCACACCTTTCATCCCTGTCATCTCTGCAAGTGTCTGAAAGTGCCCTTCAGACCAGAAGGGCGGAACCAAACTATTTATTTGCCCAGAGGTCTTTGATAAGGGAAAATAATAAAAGCAGTGATGCTGTCCATGTGTCCGCAGGTGAAGCAAATCATGGAGGAGGCTGTCACCAGGAAGTTTGTGCATGAAGACAGCAGCCACATCATTGCTTTATGTGGTGAGTGAGTGACTGAAGGATGATGGGAGGTCGGTCTAGAGCCGAGGACACTGGCCTGGGGCCAGGAAAAGATGAGTCCTCAGGTGCAGTAGCTCTCAAATCTGGCTGCAAGTCCAAATCAACCTGGAAGCTTTTGAAATCCTCTTTGGCCCCATTTGCAGACCTACTAAATCAGGTTCTTCAGGGGTCAAGAATCTGCGTATTTTTTGTTCCCCAGGATAGTAATTCTCACATTTTAGCATGTATCAGAGTCACCTGAAGGGCTTGGTAGAACACAGATTTCTGGGTCCCAACCCTGGAGTTTCTGATTCTAGTAGGTCTGGGGACCCCACTTTGAGAGCCGCTGCCCTAGGTCATTTGAGTTCAGGAACCAGTGCTCTGACTGATTTTGATTTTGACTTCAGGGAGGGGTTTGTGCTTTTCGGATGCTCTGTGCCACTTTCCCTTTGTTTCCCACCCGTGTTGCTCCATGATCCTAACCCCAAGCCCTTGACTGGATGCAAAGGAGCCTGAGCGTGGGCTAGGAGAGGTGGCTAAGGCTTCCAGCCTCAGAAGGGACTCTCTCATCACCTCCTTCTCAGTGTGGCCAAGCCTTCCAGCCCCAGAAAGGAGAGAGTCGCTTATAAACCATTTCCGCCTCCTCAGCCTGAAGACTTTTGCTTTGTAGGAGCAAGCCTATCCCTACGCACAGACTCTTCTTGGATTTCTAGGAATTTCAGCTTCCTCTCAACCCCCCATCTGAAGGGACAGGGAACCATTCACCTTCTCTGTGTTGTATTCCTTGGCCTCTGAGATTGGTGTTGGGGTTTGTGGAGGGAAAATAATGAAAGAACAGATAAGGGAAGGGATGCTTTGGACGGTAGTGTGGCACAGCAGATACAGCTGCCCTTCCCCTCATCCAGCAGCAGATCCCCACCAAGGGCTCACCAGGTGCCAGACACCGTTCACCGTGCAAGGAAATGGCAGTGACAAGATGGACAGAGTCTCTGCCGCAGGAGCTTACATTCTGTTGGGGAGACAGACAGGAAACAAATGCGCAAGTAAATATGTCATCCAATAACTTGGCATGTGATAAGAGCTAGGAAGAAAAAACATGTGGGAGGGCAGTCGGAGAGGCAGCCTCTGAGCAGAGTCTGAGTGACAGACTGGGGTTTGAATCCTGGCGTCCTGCCTTTTAAGTCGTCTTGGACAAGTTTCTTAACTTCTCTCACCCTCAGTTTGCTCCTCTAAAAACAGACTGATGATTCCCACCTCAAGGAACTTTCGTGGGGATTGAGATGATGTGTGTAAATGTTCATTCGTTCGTAGCATTGTAAGCACTCAAAGAATATTCGTCTCTCCTCCTTTGGCTGTTGAGGCTGAAGGTAGGTTTGTAGGACTTGAGTTCATACCATGTCCGTTTGGGAAGGTTTCCCCAGTTCTTTGAGATGGTGGAATAATGATTCCTAGGTTTACAAGACACAGCCTGACCTCAGTTTTTCTCAGCAGAACCTATGCTCTGGAAAAAAAAAAGGCATGCCAGTATTATGATAAGCAACTTTGAAGAGTATTAGAATTCTCGGCCGGGCACAGTGGCTCACGCCTGTAATCCCAGCACTTTGGGAGGTGAGGCAGGTGGATCACCTGAGGTCAGGAGTTCGAGACCAGCCTGGCCAACTTGGTGAAACCCCGTCTCTACTAAAAATACAAAAATTAGCAGGGCGTGGTGGCGGGCGCCTGTAATCCCAGCACTTTGGGAGGTGGAGGTGGGCGGATCACGAGGTCAGGAGATCGAGACCATCCTGGCTAACACGGTGAAACCCCGTCTCTACTAAAAATACAAAAAATTAGCCAGGCGTGGTGGCGGGCGCCTGTAGTCCCAGCTACTCAGGAGGCTGAGGCAGGAGAATGGCGTGAACCCGGGAGGCGGAGCTTGCAGTGAGCCAAGATCGCGCCACTGCACTCCAGCCTGGGTGACAGAGCGAGACTCTGTCTCAAAAAAAAAAAAAAAAAAAAATTCCTACTTTTTAAATACTGACAGCTAATTCCCATTTAAAAAAAAATTGTGTGGGCCACACAAAAGACATCTGCCAGCCTCTGCCAGTGTGCAGCCTCTGTTTTGGGTTCGGTACAGTCACGGAGAACAGGAGCAGGAGAGGTTCCAACAGTATCGGGCTAAGTCAGGCCAGGGTATCTCAGGGCCTACAGACAGAGAAATCCTTATGCTTTGTCAAAATTGGTGCTCAGTGGTGAGCTAAATCCCAATTTGGGCTGAAACTGAGGCTCGTTGAAAGCATTGATTATCAACCTTTTTCCTCTGCCTGCAAAGCAGCTTCCTTGCATTGCATGGTGGAATCACGAGAGACTCTTGCGGGGGACGGGGAGGGAAGACTAGCAAGGTATGGATCAAAAACACCACCCCTCTCTGCCTTTTTGGAGATTCTGATGTGCCAGTCTCCCTCAGTCCCTGGAAAAATGCTCTGAAATGCATTTTTAGTCTGAAGTTGATCCAGACTTAAACTGTGCCTTGCTACTGTCCTAGCCACGTCCGAATTCAGCTTTGTTGTGGGAGAAATGGGAGTATAGAGAACGTGCTGAGAGGTCAAGAGCAGAGTGAAGTCTGTGGAGACTGGATTACCAGCCTAGCGACACCACGGTCCCTAGTTTCAAGGGACCCTTGTGTACTGGGCCCCTCAACTCCACACCGACCCATGGTTCTTGGCAGAGGAGGGTTGGGGGTGACTGAGGAGAGCCAGGCCTAGGCAATACAAGCTTCTCTGAGCTTCTTAGAATGCAGACATTTAAACAGAAAACACAGAGCCTTCCTGGAGAGCCTTCCTGAAGAATCACTGTGTCAAGACCTGACCATGGGCAAACCCAGGAAAGTTTGCAGCCAGATCCCCATTCCTGTTACCCAACGGGAGGGGCAAGACTCCTAGGACTGGCTAGAAAATTGCTTTGTTGAGTGTTTGCTGTGGTTGTTCCTAAACCTGTCTGTCCAGAAGCTGGACATGCAGTAGGCCCCTGCGAGTAGAAACTTTCCTTGTGTGGAAGTTTTCGCTGGCAAACCAGTCTGGCGGCAGCAGGGGGGTGGGTGGGGTTCTCTGTGTGCTGTTCCCAGGCCCGAGGATCAGAACCTATGTAACTGCCACCTCCGTGCCAGTGGAGGGTGGCGCTAGGAGAATGGACTCAAAACTACCACTATGGGGCCAGGCATGGTGACTCACACCTGCAATCCCAGTGCTCTGGGAGGCTGAGGCGGGAGGATCCCTTGAGACCAGAAGCTTGAGACCAGCCTGGGCAATATTACAGGATGCAGTCTCTACAAAAAAATAAATAACTCGCTGGGCATGGTGGTGCACGCCTGTAGTCCCAGCTACTCCAGAGGCTGAGGTAGGAGGATCACTTGAGCCCGGGAGGTTGAGGCTGCAGTGAGCTATGATTGCACCACTGCCCTCCAGCTTGGGCAACAGAGAGAGAGAGAGACCCTGTCTCGTTTGTTTGTTTATTTATTTATTTATTTAGAGACGGAGTCTCACTCTGCTGCCCAGGCTGGAGTTCTGTGGTGCTATCTCAGCTCACTGCAACCTCCGCCTCTCAGGTTCAAGCAATTCTCCTGCCTCAGCCTCCTGAGTAGCTGGGATTACAGGTGCCTGCCACCACACCTAGCTAATTTTTGTATTTTTAGTAGAGACAGGGGTTTCACCATGTTGGCCAGGCTGGTCTCGAACTCCTGACCTCAGGTGATCTGCCCACCTTGGCCTCCCAAAGTGCTGGGATTACAGGTGTGAACCATCACACCCGGCCTCATTTTTTTTTTTTTTTTTTAAACAAAATCCAAAAACTACCACTGTTGGGGAGAGGTCTTTGATATATCCTTTTATCCTTTTTATCTTAAAACATCACATCAAGTTTACATTTTTCTCTATCATATGGTTTTTGGATTTTTTTTCATTTTAATATAAAGACTTACTGTTGAATTAAAGTATAGGCTGGTATCTCCTGTCGCCCCCTCCCCTGGAGGGGAAGGTGCTTTTGTTTTTTCTTTTTTTTTTTTTCCAGATGAGGTCTTGCTATGTTGCCAAGATTGGTCTCAAACTCGTGGGCTCCAGGTATGCTCCTGCCTTGGCATCCCAAGTAACTGGGATTACAGGTGCATACCACCGCCCGAGGTCCATAGTGTTTTATTTACCCTATTCCGATTGGGCACTGAGTTTGCATTTTAACCTTTGGCTGGTAGAGCAGGTTTCAGAGGCTCACAGAGAGGCTTCTGGCCAGGCAGAGCAGGTTCTCAGGCCAATCATATCTCCCAGGACCTCAGCCTCCCCACCCCCCAGGGATTGGGGCAGACACCAGCCTGCCTCCTCAGTCACCAGATTCCCTGCCCTGCTGTGTGCAAGTGGGTCAACATGAGGGTTGCTTCAGACTGAGGATGAGCTGTAATTCGAGAAGGGTGGAATCTGTGGAGCCGGGAATAACATCAGGCTTTATTAACCAGCTCCCTGTTGCTAGGCAGCTTTCATTAGCCAGGAAGGTCTGCCCTGCAGTGAGCTCCTTCAGGGAATGGCAAGGAGATGCTAATAAGCTGGGAGAGAAGCCGGTGCTAGGGAAGGCTTGCCTCTCCCCTGGGATATTGCAGCCAGCGATATTTCAGCACATTCTGAGATTTGGACTCCAGGCAGTCTTCAGCCTGTCTCTTTTCAGTAAAAGGGATTCCTGGAGGCTGAGGTGGGAGGATCCCTTGCAGGAGTTCGAGACCAGCCTGAGCAAAAAAGACCCCATCGCCACAAAAAGGAGGAGCGGGTTCCTCCTCCTTCCCACCCACAGGGAATGAATAGCTCATTCTCTTGCTATCTAACTCGTGCCTTCCATCTAGAAATGATCTAAGAGGAAGGAGGGAGCTCTGAAGGAGCTGACTCCCCTCACTCTATCTTGGGGCATTGCGGAGGGCATATGGGGATGTTCATAGCTGGGACTTTGGGGTCACACAGACCTGGGTTCACATCCTGGCTGTGCCACGAAGTGTGTAGCCGTGCTTACTCATCTCTGAGCCTACCCCAGAAGGCAGATGTAAGGAACAGAAGAGCAATGCAGGCAACACACACAGCATGGATCTGAGTATGCAGAAGGTGCTCAATCGCATTCTACTTTGGTTTTTATTTTGTTTTGTTTCGTTTTGTTTGAGATGGAGTCTCACTCTGTCTCCCCGCTGGAGTGCAGTGGTGTGATCATAGCTCACTCAGCCTCGACCTTCTGGGTTCAGGCGATCCTCTCACTTCAGCCTCCTGAGTAGCTGGGTCTACAGGTCTACGCGCCACCACACTCGGCTACTTTTTTGTATTTTTGTAGAGACGGGGTTTCGCCATGTTGCCCAGGCTGGTCTCAAACTCCTGACCTCAAGTGATCTACCCGCCTCGGCCTCCCAAAGTGCTGGGATTACAGGCATGAGCCACCACCCCACCCCACATCTGCTTTGTTTTTGAAAGGGAGCATAGGCCGGGCACAGTGGCTCACGCCTGCAATCCCAGCACTTTGGGAGGCTCAGCTGGGTGGATCACCTGAGGTCAGGAGTTCGAGACCAGCCTGGCCAAAATGGCGAAGCCCCATCTGTACTAAAAATACAAAAATTAGCTGGGCATCATGGTGCACGCCTGTAATCCCAGCTCTTTGGGAGGCTGAGGCAGGAGAATCACTTGAACCTGAGAGATGGAGGTTTCAGTGAGCGAGATTGTGCTGCTGCACTCCAGCCTGGGCGACAGAGCGAGACTTGGTCTAAAAAAAAAAAGTGACCTTACAACCTTTCCTATAAAGCCTCCTCGAGCCTTCCCCAGGATTCCATCTGGGAATCTGTGTTTCTGGAAGTTTGGAGCATCTGGAGAATCAGAAATTTGAACATCAGGAACTCAATAAGGAAATTTGATAATATAAAGGAATTGTTACCAATTTTGTCAGTGTAATAGAGGTATAAGTGCATGTTTTTAAGAGTCCTCTTTCAGAGATAAATATATATGATGTCTAAAATTTGCTTCAGAATAATCCAGTGGTAGGAAACAATGGTTGCAGGCGGAGGAGCTGAAGCAAGATGGTCGTGACTTGATCATTGTTGAAGCTGGGTAATGAGTACATGGGCAGCTGTTATACTGTCCCCTTTTCCTTCTGTATATGGTTGGAATTTTCCCTAGTGAAATGTTTTGTTTTTTTTTTTTGAGATGGAGTCTCCCTCTGTCGCCCAGGCTGGAGTGCAATGGAGCGGTCTTGGCTCACTGCAAGCTCCGCCTCCCGGGTTCACACCATTCTCCTGCCTCAGCCTCCCAAGTAGCTGGGACTACAGGCGCCCACCACCACGCTCGGCTAATTTTTTGTATTTTTAGTAGACATGGGGTTTCACCGTGTTAGCCAGGATGGTCTCAATCTCCTGACCTCGTGATCCGCCCACCTCGGCCTCCCAAAGTGCTGGGATTACAGGCGTAAGCCACCACGCCTGGCCTAATTTTTGTATTTTAGTAGAGATGGGATTTCACCATGATGCCCAGACTGGTCTCAAACTCCTGACCTCAGGTGATCCACCTGCCTCGGTCTCCCAAAGTGCTGGGATTACAGGTGTGAGCCACTGCATTTGGCCTAGAATGTTTATATTCACATGGGAAGTATCTAATAGGGAAAAATTGCAGGCATAAAAAAGAGAAGAGAAGTTTGCTGGAGGAGCGTCTTTGAAAAGGTGCAAGGGAGGTGGGGTGCGGTGGCTCACACCTGTAATCGCAGCACTTTGAGAGGCCAAGGCAGGTGGATCACCTGAGGTCAGGAGTTCTAGACCAGCCTGGCCAATATAGTGAAACCCTGTCTCTACAAAAAATACAAAAATGTGCCGGGTGTGGTGGCGCACGTCTATAATTCCAACTGCTGGGGAGGCTGAGGCAGGAGAATCGCTTGAACCCAGGTGGTGGAGGTTGCAGTGAGCCGAGACCGTACCACTGCACCACTGTACTCCAGCCTGGGCGACAGAGTGAGACTCTGTCTCAAAAAAAACAAAAAAACAAGACATAAGAAATGGTGCAGGGGCAGCACTCCAGCCTCCAGCGTGCCGGTGGAAGGTGACCTCAGAGACAAGTCCAACTAGACCATCCCTAGGAACGAGAGGAAGGCAGGGACTGGGCATGAGGTGCAGGGAGGGAAGGCACCTGCATTCATCAGTCCCCTTCGGTGTGGTAGGCAGGGGCCGAGAAGCCTTTCACACCTTGGGATATGCTGTTACTTTTCATCACCCAGCATCCATTGAGGTAGACCCTGATTTTCTCCCTAATTACATCAGAAGCTCAGAGAGGTTTAGTGACTTGACCAAAGTCAAACAGCCAGTAAGGAGAGGAGCCCGTGGGCTGGGCGTGGTGGCTCACGCCTGTAATCCCAGCACTTTGGGAGGCTGAGGAGGGTGGATCACTTGAGGTCAGGAGTTCGAGACCAGCCTGGCCATCATGGTAAAACCCCTTCTCTACTAAAAATACAAAAATTAGCCGGCCATGATGGTGGGTGCCTGTAATCCCAGCTACTTGGGAGGCTGAGGCAGGAGAATTGCTTGAACCTGGCAGGCGGAGATTGCAGTAAGCCAAGATCACGTCACTGCACTCCGACCTGGGCAATAGATCGAGACTCAGTCTCAAAAAAAAAAAAAGGAGAGGAGCTAGTGTTTGAACCCACCTCTGTCTTGCTCCAGACTCTGTGCTGCCCAGGGATTGGTCTGCCTGTGAGGCCTACCCAGGAGTAGAGACTAGAGGGGCGGCGGCATTGAGGAGTTGGCCCTCATGCAGACGAAGCTCTGGTCATTGAACTGTGGGCTTATGGTGTCCAGAGACACTCTAGGAGACTGTGGCTTCCTTACCCAGCCAGCTGAGTGTGCCCACATCAGTGTCCACTGCATGAGAGGCTGGCCCTGGCCTGGTTCCCTGGGTAGCCGCCATGAGCACTGTGCATGCGGACCCTGTCTTGCATCTCCAGCAGGACAAGGACAATGGGATGTGTAGCATGGATTTCATTTCCCCCTCCTTGGTTCTAGGTTCTGGGTTCAGGCGATCTCTCACTTCAGCCTCCTGAGTAGCTGGGTCTGCAGGTCTACGCACCACCACGCTCGGCTACTTTTTTGTATTTTTGTAGAGACGGGGTTTCGCCATGTTGCCCAGGCTGGTCTCAAACTCCTGACCTCAAGTGACCTACCCGCCTCAGGACAGTTCTTTATCCTCCCAATCAGAGTCCAGTTGCGAATGTTGCTTTCTTGTTTTGGGGGTTGAGCAGGGCTGAATGCCTTCCAAAGTTGAAGCAAACAACCAGTATCACCAGTGCAGGCTGAGAGAAAATGCACCCTAGTTACCGCAGAAACGCTCATCTGAGTAAAGGCAGCCACTACAAATCCCTGGGTGGAAATAGCCAGGGAGAGAAGCGGGGAAGAGAGGGGCAGGTCACACTTGGCGATGGCCCTTCGCTCCTCTCACCTTGTCTGTGGCAGATGAAACACTGGCTCCTTCCACCGGCAGTTGGAGTAAAGATACTTGATGCTTCTTCTCCTTCAGTTGTTACTTGAAAGAGGCGGGTCCTCCCACCCATTCCTTTATCTCCAGGAAGGCTGCTCCTCTCCGGCATTGTTGGTTCCACCATCCAGGGACCTGAACCACTGGCCCCCAGGCAGGCATTGGGCTTTTGAATTCTGCTCTAATTAGCGTCTCCCAAAGCCCCAGGTCCAGAATGGACTACCTGAGGCTGGCTGCCCTGCTTGCACTTCCTCGCTTGGGTTCTGTGTGGCAGCGGTGGCTGAACTCCCCTGTCGTGCAGATGGCAGCTGGTAGCAAAAGGTGAAACCGGGCCGGAGGTGGGGAGCAAGCCACACCTGCCAACTTGCTGTCCTCCCATTCCCAACTCCGGGCCCAGCATCTCAGGCCCAGTTTCATGTTGAGTTGTGCTAACTCTGTCCCTGTACCTCAAGCAAACTAGGCTAGTCCTCTGAAGGCCACTGAGTGGTTCCCACTGTTACCAGGCTGGGCTTGTCCAGGCTGCTGAGTGCAGCTTTCAACGTAGATATATATGCACATGAGAGCCAAGGCAGAATGCAGGTGCAGAGACCCAGCCCTGCTTCTGAGGCTCCCTGGGCTGACTGATGACCCTCCTAACCACTGCTGCATTTTCTTTTTTTTTTTTTTTTTTTTTTTTTTTTGAGACGGAGTCTCGCTCTGTCGCCCAGGCTGGAGTGCAGTGGCGCGATCTCGGCTCACTGCAAGCTCTGCCTCCCGGGTTCACGCCATTCTCCTGCCTCAGCCTCCCGAGTAGCTGGGACTACAGGCGTCCGCCACCACGCCCGGCTAATTTTTTGTATTTTTAGTAGAGACGGGGTTTCACCATGTTAGCCAGGATGGTCTGGATCTCCTGACCTCGTGATCCACCCGCCTCGGCCTCCCAAAGTGCTGGGATTACAGGCGTGAGCCACCGCGCCCGGCCCACTGCTGCATATTCTAGCAGCCGAGCTATAGTTCATTTCTGTGAGCTCCTGAGACACCTTAGCTTGTCTCAGCCCTCTGGATCGTTTCTCTAATCCCTGCCCCGCTCAGGTCACCTGCTGCTGCCCTAAGCAGAGCCCACATGCGCCCCCTAGTGGTGGGAAACCAAACGATTCCACAGATCCTGTTTGTTGAGGGAGGAGGTGAAACGAGATGCCCACGGGCGACCCAGCCTTCCTGGGTTTTGTGAATTCTGATTCACACCTAGATTGGAGAGACTCTCTGGCATCATCTCATGATGGGAACCCTAGTGCTGGTCACCCACTCAATTATTATAATTAATTTTGCATTCATAATATATTTAACTGGTTCAAAAATCAAAACCATATAAAAAGGATACAGTGGGGCCGGGCACATTGGCTCACACCTGTAATCCCAGCACCTTGGAAGGCTGAGACGGGCAGATTGCTTGAGCTCAGGAGTTCGAGACCAGCCTGGGCAACATGGTGAAACCCTGTCTCTACTAAAAATTTTTAAAAATTAGCCAGGCATGGTAGTGCACGCCTGCAGTCCCAGCTACTCAGCAGGCTGAGGTAGGAGGATCACTTGAGCCTGGGAGGCAGAGGTTACGGTGAACAGAGATTGTGCCCACTGCAGTCCAGCCTGGGTGACAGACTGAGACTCTGTCTTTAAAAAAAAAAGCGTGCAGTGAAAAGTCTCACTCCTTTCTCTGCTCTTATTCACCCACTTCCTGTCTATGTACGAGTCCCACACAGGTAACCACTTTTGTTTCTCATGCATCCTTCTAGAGGTTTTCTTATGTTGGTTTTTTGTTTGTTTGGTTGTTTTTTGAGACAGGGTTTCATTCTGTCACCCAGGCTGGAGTGCAATGGTGCAATCTCAGCTCACTGCAACCTCCTGGGCTGGGCTCAAGCAATCCTCCCACCTCCACCTCCTGAGTAGCTAGAATACAGGCTCATGTCACCACACCCAGCTAGTTTTTAAATTTTTTGTAGAGATGGGGTCTCCCTGTGTTGCCTAGGCTGGTCTCAAACTTCTGGGCTCAAGTGATCTTCCCACCTTGGCCTCCCAAACTGTTGGGACTATAGATGTGAGCCACTGCACCTGACCTAGAGTTTTTTTGTTTGTTTTTTAGTAGAGACGGGGTTTCACTATGTTACCCAGGATAGTCTCAATCTCCTGACCTCGTGACCCACCCGCCTCGGCCTCCCAAAGTGCTGGGATTACAGGCGTGAGCCACCGCGCCCAGCCAAGTTTTTTATACTAATAAAAAAGATTGTATTCTTTGTTCACACCTCCCTTTTTGTAATTAAAAGGTGTCATGCAATTATACCATTCTGCATCTTGCTGTTGGCGAGCTTTCCATTATTCATTCCTAGAGAGCATCCTCATTCTTTTTCAGAGTTGCATGATATTCTGCTAGAGATGTACCATATTTACTTCACCTGTCCCCTATTGATGGGCATGTGGATGACTTCCAGTCTTTTGCTGTTATAACTAAATAATCACGCAGTTATATCTGTAGGACGGATTCTCAGAAGAGGGGTTACTGGATCAGAGGTTATTTGCAGCATTAGTGGAGAGGGCCATATTGCGTCTATACGGGTTGCAGCATCTTGCCTACCTACCAGCAATATATGAATGGATTCAGCAGCTCCCCACGTCCCTTCCATCTGTGTCTTCCTGGCGTCTCCTCTACTCTAAATTGGGTCTCTTGGAATGGTGAAATCAGTGTGTAAGGGTTGGGGGCAGGGACCCTATATCTTAGAATGGTGGAATCGGGGTGTAAGCGTTGGGGAAGGGACCCCATATCTTAGAATGGTGGAATCGGGGTGTAAGCGTTGGGGAAGGGACCCCATATCTTAGAATGGTGGAATCGGGGTGTAAGGGTTGGGGGAAGGGACCCCATATCTTAGAATGGTGGAATCGGGGTGTAAGGGTTGGGGAAGGGACCCCATATCTTAGAATGGTGGAATCGGGGTGTAAGGGTTGGGGGAAGGGACCCCATATCTTAGAATGGTGGAATCGGGGTGTAAGGGTTGGGGGCAGGGGCCCCATATCTTAGAATGGTGGAATCGGGGTGTAAGGGTTGGGGGAAGGGACCCCATATCTTAGAATGGTGGAATCGGGGTGTAAGGGTTGGGGGCAGGGGCCCCATATCTTAGAATGGTGGAATCGGGGTGTAAGGGTTGGGGGAAGGGGCCCCATATCTTAGAATGGTGGAATCGGGGTGTAAGAGTTGGGGGAAGGGACCCCATATCTTAGAATGGTGGAATCGGGGTGTAAGGGTTGGGGCAGGGGCCCCATATCTTAGAATGGTGGAATCGGGGTGTAAGAGTTGGGGGAAGGGACCCCATATCTTAGAATGGTGGAATCGGGGTGTAAGGGTTGGGGAAGGGACCCCATATCTTAGAATGGTGGAATCGGGGTGTAAGGGTTGGGGGAAGGGACCCCATATCTTAGAATGGTAGAATCGGGGTGTAAGAGTTGGGGGAAGGGACCCCATATCTTAGAATGGTGGAATCGGGGTGTAAGGGTTGGGGAAGGGACCCCATATCTTAGAATGGTGGAATCGGGGTGTAAGAGTTGGGGGAAGGGACCCCATATCTTAGAATGGTGGAATCGGGGTGTAAGGGTTGGGGAAGGGACCCCATATCTTAGAATGGTGGAATCGGGGTGTAAGGGTTGGGGGAAGGGACCCCATATCTTAGAATGGTGGAATCGGGGTGTAAGGGTTGGGGGAAGGGACCCCATATCTTAGAATGGTGGAATCGGGGTGTAAGGGTTGGGGAAGGGACCCCATATCTTAGAATGGTGGAATCGGGGTGTAAGGGTTGGGGGAAGGGACCCCATATCTTAGAATGGTAGAATCGGGGTGTAAGAGTTGGGGGAAGGGACCCCATATCTTAGAATGGTGGAATCGGGGTGTAAGGGTTGGGGAAGGGACCCCATATCTTAGAATGGTGGAATCGGGGTGTAAGAGTTGGGGGAAGGGACCCCATATCTTAGAATGGTGGAATCGGGGTGTAAGGGTTGGGGGAAGGGACCCCATATCTTAGAATGGTGGAATCGGGGTGTAAGGGTTGGGGAAGGGACCCCATATCTTAGAATGGTGGAATCGGGGTGTAAGAGTTGGGGGAAGGGACCCCATATCTTAGAATGGTGGAATCGGGGTGTAAGGGTTGGGGCAGGGGCCCCATATCTTAGAATGGTGGAATCGGGGTGTAAGAGTTGGGGGAAGGGACCCCATATCTTAGAATGGTGGAATCGGGGTGTAAGGGTTGGGGGAAGGGACCCCATATCTTAGAATGGTGGAATCGGGGTGTAAGGGTTGGGGGCAGGGGCCCCATATCTTAAAATGGTGGAATCGGGGTGTAAGGGTTGGGGGAAGGGACCCCATATCTTAAAATGGTGGAATCGGGGTGTAAGGGTTGGGGGAAGGGACCCCATATCTTAAAATGGTGGAATCGGGGTGTAAGGGTTGGGGGAAGGGACCCCATATCTTAAAATGGTGGAATCGGGGTGTAAGGATTGGGGAAGGGACCCCATATCTTAAAATGGTGGAATCGGGGTGTAAGGGTTGGGGGAAGGGACCCCATATCTTAAAATGGTGGAATCGGGGTGTAAGGATTGGGGAAGGGACCCCATATCTTAAAATGGTGGAATCGGGGTGTAAGGGTTGGGGGAAGGGACCCCATATCTTAAAATGGTGGAATCGGGGTGTAAGGATTGGGGAAGGGACCCCATATCTTAAAATGGTGGAATCGGGGTGTAAGGATTGGGGAAGGGATCCCATATCTTAGAATGGTGGAATCGGGGTGTAAGGGTTGGGGGAAGGGACCCCATATCTTAGAATGGTGGAATTGGGGTGTAAGGGTTAGGGAAGGGACCCCATATCTTAGAATGGTGGAATTGGGGTGTAAGGGTTGGGGTGCCCATAGGATTCCATCAGCATCTGTGGTCTCCAGCCGTGTGTAGCATTTGTTAGGCTGCAGAACTTGATGGCTTTGAGGTCACATCGGGGCTGGTGAAGGGAGCCCCAGGGCTAGTCTGGGTCTGTAGTTCCTGGCCTTTCCCTGGGAAGATGGCTCCAGACCTTTGTAGGGGTGTCCAACAGTGTGCTGGAGTTAAATGCAGTTATGCTCCTGCCCACTCAGAGTTGCAGTTCCTTGAGCCTTGCTGTCAGCAGGATGGGATGGGCTGACAGGGTAGAGAATGTACCTGGGCTCAGCTGGCCCAGACTCCAAAGGCCACCAGAAAACCAGGGTGACAAATGCCCATCATTCAACGAGTGGATAAAGAAACTGATAAATACATACAGTGGAATACTACTCAGCCATAAAAAGGAATACATTCATGGCATTCGCAGCAACCTGGATGGGATTGGAGACTATTATTCTTTTTATTTTATTTTCTTGAGATGGAGTTTTTGCTCTTGTCACCCAGGCTGGAGTGCAATGGCGCGATCTCAACTCACTGCAACCTTTGCTTCCCAGGTTCAAGCAATTCTTCTGCCTCAACCTCCCAAGTAGCTGGGACTACAGGTGCCCACCACGACACCCGGCTAATTTTTGTATTTTTAGCAGAGACGGAGTTTCACCATATTGGCCAGGCTGATCTCGAACTCCTGACCTCAGGTGATCCGCCCACCTCGCCTCCCAAAGTGCTGGGATTACAGGTGTGAGCCACCATGCCCAGCCACTAAAGTCATGTTTCTCTCTTCTCCATTTTGATTCATTTGCCCAAACCTTTCCATGCCAACCAGTGTTGGTTTTTATTAATTAGTCCACATTTTTTCTCATATGAAATAAGCCAAATAATGTCAGGGTCATCACCTTGTGGTGGTGCACCCAGGGTGGCCGTAGCTGGTGCTGGGACCCACTGGATCAGGGGTCCTGAAGCCTTCACAGGTGGGAGCCCAGGGCCCAGACAGCTCAGTCAGCAGGCAGGTAGGTTCAGCTAACCTGGTGCTTTAGCCCTGCAAGTATCTCCTGCCACCACCCTCCACCCTGGGAGGTGGGGTCACAGTGGGGACCTGGGGAAGGAAGGAGTAAGGGGAGTAAGGCCCTGGAGTTCTGCTTGGTGCTCTGGGCCTCCAGTCAGAACGGGGGATAAGCTTGGGCCGTCATGTGGACTCTCCCTGGGGAAGGGTCCTTCACCGTCCCGTGTCTGTGAGACACGTCCCCGGGGAAGGAGGACACTGTTGCTGCCGGCTTTGCAGGCAGTTCTGAGTGTGGTATTCACTAGATGCGGGATGGCATGTGTTTATGTCTCCATGTATGTTTCAATTAGTGACAATGCCTGGGTTTCTGCTCGACTCAGAAGTCTCAGAGCCAGGCTCAGTGGCTCAAGCCTGTAATGCCGGCGCTTTGGAAGGCTGAGGTGGAAGGATCACTTGAGCCAGGCATTGGAGACCAGCCTAGGCAACATAGTGAGACCTCAGTCTCTACAAAAAATTTTTAAAAATTAGCCAAGCTTAGTGACCCAAGCCTGTAGTCCCAGCTGCTTGAGAGGCTGAGGTGGGAGGATGGCTTGAACCCAGGAGGCTGAGACTGCAGTGAGCTGTGGTTGCACCGTTGCACGCCAGACCAGGCAATAGAGTGAGACCCGGTCTCAAAAAAAACGGCTTCTTAATCTTTTTTGGGTCAGAAGCTGAGAACCACAGACCTACTATCCAGGAAAAAAAGCACTCTCCTAATCATTCTAGAGCACCTCAACAATTTGCATTCAAATTGCTCCCAATATCAGGGAGGGGCTCTTTTTTGTTGTTGTTGTTGTTTTTTTTTTTTTTTTTTTTTGAGACAAAGTCTCGCTGTGTTCCCCCAGGCTGGAGTGCAGTGGCGCCATCTCGGCTCACTGCAACCTCTGCCTCCCAGGTTCAAGTGATTCTCCTACCTCAGCCTCCCAGGTAGCTGGGACTTCAGGTGCCCCCTACCACGCCCAGCTAATTTTTTGTATTTTTAGTAGAGATGGGATTTCACCGTGTTAGCCAGGATGGTCTCAATCTCCTGACCTCATGATCCGCCTGCCTCGGCCTCCCAAAGTGCTGGGATTACAGGCGTGAGCCACGGCGCCCAGACCCAGGGAGGGAGTTTTTGGAGCCCCAGAAGCCCATTCACAAAGTCCTCTCGGGGCCATAGTTCTCAAGTAGTGGTGTCACTATTATTATTTTGTCTGCACACTGCACGCGATAACATATTCATCACACGTGCACACTCTCGGTGGGGAACACCTTGTGGGCATGGCATAGGACAAGTGCAGTGTGAACAGTTACTGGCCGGGAGCCCACAGAGCTGAGTCAGTAATGCCTGGCCTAATGGCCTAACTGGTCTTAGCTTGGAAAGTCGATGCATGAGAGGGATTTCTCCTTCCCCAGACACTGCCTGGCACCTTGCCTGGGTTGCACAGAAGGAAATTAGGGACCGTGGGGTAAAGGGGGGACTGAGCGTGATGCCTGGCTTCTCTCAGTATTCCTTAGTTGCAGTAATTGCTTAGGAATGCCTCCTCTCACCCGAGAGAACCCCATGGCTGTGCTCAGAGGCTGGCCGGGAAGGTAGGCGAGGCCACCCCGATGGGAGTGCTGGGGCCGGCCACTCCCCAGTCCCCACGGCCTGGCTGCTTTTGCGGTCGCCTAGGGAAGGTGGGGAAGCGAATGACTCATTATCCCGGCAATTAATCACACCACTGAGGCATGTGATCCGTGCAGGACATGTGCCACCTGCTGCCCCTCTGTCCTGTTCAGTGCTGCTTCTCTCCCCACTCTGAATGGGAAGTGCAACCCCAGGAAATGATCACCCCCTTTCCACAGGCACGGAATTGTAGCTGCAGCAGCCCAGGACCAAGAGACTGGGACAAAAGGGTCATTCGCCTGTATATCCCAGGGCCACACAAGACCTCCAGGGACCAGGGGGAATGATCATGGAGAGGAGCATGTGGACGCTTAAGCCAAAGATTTCCCCATGTGGGCCGGGCGCGGTGCCTCACGCCTGTAATCCCAGCACTTTGAGAGGCCGAGGCGGGCGGATCACTTGAGGTCAGGAGTTCGAGACCAGCCTGGCCAACGTGGCGAAACCCCGTCTCTACTAAAATACAAAAATTAGCTGGGCATGGTGGTGTGTGCCTGTAGTCTCAGCTACTCGGGAGGCTGAGGCGGGAGAATCACCTGAACCACAGAGGTCAGCTCTCAGCTGCTGTGAGCTGAGATTCCACGATTGCACTCCAGCCTGGGCATCAGAGTGGGTCCCTGTCTCAAAAATAAAAATAAAAAAACCTTGACAGACCTCAATTTCCCTGTCTCCACCCACTTCTGGGGCAGCCTTGGATCGTCTCTCCAGTGCACCCTCTTCCTGTCCCTGTCGGGGAGAGGTCCTGCTGAAAGCCAGCTCTTAGAGGCTAGCTGTAGAACTGTATCTGAACCAACAGGGTGAGGAGTCAGGAACTGACCTAGACCCAGCACCTCCTGAGAGCCAGACCCCGCATGGGTGATTTCACATCCTCCGTCTCATGTGACATCTCACACTAGCCCTCTTCCCATTTCACAGAGGATACAACTGAGTCTCAGAGCAAGTGACCGTGCCAAGCTCAGACTTTGTTCTGTCTGACTGTCTCCAGCACAGCTCACTGTTTCCAGTCCGTGTGAAAAAACCACCTCCTTCTCCCCTCAGTGTCCCTGCCCCCAACCAGACACACCTGGACGTGGCAAAAGGGGCTCGGGCCGAGGCTTGGAGCCCTGGGTCCTCATCCTGGTGGCTCTGCCATGTTGTGACTGTGATCGAGTTTCTTCCCCTCTTTGGGCCTTTCCCTCCTCACCTGTAAAACTGTTAGTTTGGCCCAATCATGTAGAAGCTTCTCCGCCCCACACACATACACACTCCTGTCTTTAGAGTCTGTCTGGGCACAGGGCAGCTCCCTACTGTCTCCTACCAAGCCCTTCTTTTCTTCCTGCAGGGTCTGTCTGTGGAAAGTCCAGACAGAGACTAAGCCTAACCCTAAACCATGAATGAATGGAGGGAAGCCCTCCTAGCATGGAAAAGAGAAATCTCTCCCTCAGCTGCTGGGCTCATCAGTCCAGCGGCCACTGTCGGGTCCAAGCTCTGCAGTGACTTCATCAATATTTTAGCTCCTGCAGAGCCCTGTTCCTTAGCAACCGCATCCTCCGTGCCCTCCAGAAAGGCTCCCGAGTCGGGTGTTCCTCACATCCCCGTCCTGTAGGTGCTGTGCCTTGCTGTCAGGTTTGGAGCCACTCATGCCACCCTGAATGGGGAGCTTTGGTCCTCATGACCCCCAGGGGTGAGGCTGCATATAGGAGGTGTGTGCGCACCAGGCGAGGGAGAGGGACAGCTTGGCATGTCAAAGCTCTTCGCCCCGGGCAGGAGCCGAGGGACGGGGAGGGGAATTTTGGAAGGAAGCCAGGGTATCTCCCTGGCCTGCCCTTGGCTTGCCCTTACCCCTTGCCTCACCACAGGTATGGGGAAGAGGAGCTTTTCTTCCTGCTCCCCCGTCTTTCCCAGGCTCAGATGCCGTTTCCCTTTGTGGCCTAGGTGCAGTGGAGGCTTGCCTCTTGCATCAGCTGAGACGCCGTGCCGCTGGCTTCCTGCGCAGTGACAAGATGGCAGCCCTGTTCACCAAGGTGGGGAAGACGTGCCCAGTGGCGGGGGAGATTTGCCACAAGGTACAGGAGCTGCAGCAACAAGCAGAGGGCAGGTGAGCCCTGGGCCAGCCCCTTCTTCCCTCCTTTCAGCTCTTCCCACTTGGCAATTGCTACTTCCTAGGACACCCATCGGAAAGTTGGCATCCTGGGCCTGTTCCTTGCAGGGCCTCTGGGTGAGGGATCAGCTTGAGGGAGGGGATTGGTTCCTTGTGGGCACAAGGCTCTGTACCCCTCCTTCACCTCCCAACCCCAGTCAGTTCTCTGTGCTCCCATCTTGGGGTACCAAGCCCCACTCCCAATGCCAGCATTCTGGGGTTTACCCCTAGACCACTGCACTCCTGGAGCCCTCCCCGCCTTTGCAGGAAACCCTCAGGGGTCAGCCAGGAGGCCCTGCGGAGACAGGGCTCAGCCAGCGGGAAGGCCCCGGCCCTCAGCCCTCAGGCCTTGAAACACGTATGGGTACGCACGGCGCTCATCGAGAAAGTTCTGGACAAGGTCGTGCAATACCTGGCGGAAAACTGCAGGTGACCGCCCCGTTCCCCAAAAACTGCAGGTGACCACCCCGTTCCCCCCAAAACTGCAGGTGACCGCCCCGTTCCCCAAAAACTGCAGGTGACCGCCCCGTTCCCCAAAAACTGCAGGTGACCGCCCCGTTCCCCCCAAAACTGCAGGTGACCGCCCCGTTCCCAAAAACTGCAGGTGACCGCCCCGTTCCCCAAAAACTGCAGGTGACCGCCCCGTTCCCCAAAAACTGCAGGTGACCGCCCCGTTCCCCAAAAACTGCAGGTGACCGCCTCGTTCCCCAAGCAGCCCCTCCCTTGACCCGTCTCCCGACGTCCCTCAGCCCCAGCCCTCAGGATGCTTGCCTGTCCGTGACAGCCTGTAGGCAACCCTCCATCTCCCCGTCCCCTTCGGTGCCCTCAAGGCATTGGCCATACCAGGCACCTCACGAAGCCCAGTCCCTAAGGACTCACTGTTTCTTGATGACTGATCTGAATCTGGTCTTTGTGGGGATGTCCCTACCTGGTGAGCTTGACTGCCCTGGAATGAGCCCCGGAGCCTCGGCAGTCACACTGTCTGTCTCCTGGCAGCAAGTACTACGAGAAGGAGGCACTGCTGGCAGACCCTGTGTTCGGCCCGATCCTGGCCTCTCTTCTAGGTGAGCCTGAGAGCACAGGCACAGTGGGTACGGGGCAGGTGCTGAGGGAGCATCGTCTGGGCTGGCTGTCTCTGTCTCCACAGTGGGACCCTGTGCCTTGGAATACACTAAGCTCAAGACAGCCGATCACTACTGGACTGACCCCTCTGCTGATGAGCTGGTCCAGCGGCACCGCATCCGGGGTCCACCTACTCGCCAGGACTCCCCTGCAAAGCGCCCAGCCCTGGGGGTAGGTGCCCCCTCCCCACCCTTTGGGCTCATCTGGGCTATGCCCATGGGCCTGTAGGGACGGGAAACCGGCCTCTCTACGGGACAGGCCTTGGAGATGCCCCAAGGTAGCGGCTGCCTCAGAAGAGCCTTCTCCGCACAATAAAACTTAACACAAATGCCGGGAGCCCATGCTGGTCCGTGGCTGGAGAGCAGAGGGTGGCTGGGAGTAAACCGGGGCAGGAAGGACCCCTGGGGTCAGCTGGAGAGGGTCAGCATGGAAGCGTGAGGGTTCCCAAGCCTTGAGGCCAGTTTCCCAAGGCTGGAGGCTGAGCCCCGGCCTTCCACACAGATCCGGAAACGGCACTCAAGCGGCAGCGCGTCGGAGGACAGGCTGGCTGCCTGTGCCCGCGAGTGTGTGGAGTCCCTGCACCAGAACTCACGGACGCGGCTGCTCTATGGCAAGAACCACGTGCTGGTGCAGCCGGTAGGAAAGCTTCATCCTGCCATCCCTCCCCGAAGGTCCCCGAACGAGACGACTGGAAGCCTCTAGCCATGGCTATTCCTTTCCTGAGGAGCTTGACCAGAGACGGGGGGGAGAATGGCCCCAGCCTCCCAACTCCCTGTTTCACACGACTCACGCCCAGCCTTTAGTTGGCAGGGGACAGGAATGGCAGCCAGCAGGCGAGGGGAGTCCGCAGTGTGGGTATGGCTGGCCTGGAATGGACCTGGCATCCAGGAGGCTGGCAGGAGAGAGTCAGTGGCACCAGGCTGACCAGGGAAACTGAGTCCTGTTTTCCTGTGCTTCTGCCCCGTCCCTAGTCCAGGACCCCGTGACTAGCCTAGCTTGGCCTCCCCTCCTCCCAGCGGGAGCTCATTTCTCATAGGCCATCCCTGAGAGCCTCTCAGCCCTTCATCGTCGGTCTTCCGGTGTCTCCCGCTGTAGAAGGAGGATATGGAGGCGGTCCCTGGCTACCTCTCCCTGCACCAGTCTGCAGAGAGCCTGACTCTGAAGTGGACCCCCAACCAGCTCATGAATGGGACTCTGGGGGACTCCGAGCTGGAAAAGAGGTGGGGGCTTTGGGACTCAATCCCAGGAGCCAGGGCAGGGAGTGGGTTTGACCTCAGGCAGAGGGATGGAGAAACCCCGCTTGCTCCAGGAGGCCAACCTCACTCTTTATTTGGACGCCAAGAATAGCAGGGAGCGGCTGCCTGGAGTGATTCCCAAGCTCTCTAGGACGGAGCCAAGCCTGGCCGTGAAGAGGTTTGTCTGAGCCAAGCTCTCAGCGGCTGAGACGGACAGCTGTCCATGTGCCGAGCGGGCAGCACAGATCTCAGGGGTCATGGCTGGCTGTGTGCACCTCTTGGCTATGGTCATCCTATCTTCAGGGGAGTTTCGTGGGGTGGTAGGACCAGGAGACAAGGAAGGAAGGAAGGATGGCAGGTCTTTGGACACAGTGACAGCAGTCTGGTTCCTTTCTAGCGTTTACTGGGACTATGCCCTCGTGGTGCCCTTCAGCCAGGTCGTGTGCATCCACTGCCACCAGCAAAGTAAGCCTGCCTTGTCCTCGGCTCGGGTGGGAAGGGAGAGGCTGCCTTCTGCCAGCTGTGCACTGTGCGTGGGGCCTGTAAGACTCCTCGTCCTCCTCCCATCCTTGTTAATGGGGCTCCCAGGCCATGCTGTAGCCCAGCCATCTGCCTCCTACCCAGCCTGGGGGCACTGGCCAGCAGGGTGTGATAGCCGACGAGAGGGCCTCAGCCGCACTCTCCACGTTCACCCCCAGAGAGCGGTGGCACGCTTGTGCTGGTGAGCCAGGATGGCATCCAGAGGCCGCCGCTGCATTTCCCACAGGGAGGACACCTGCTGTCCTTTCTGTCCTGTCTGGAGAATGGGCTGCTGCCTCGGGGACAGCTAGAGCCCCCGCTGTGGACCCAGCAAGGGAAGGTAACTCGGGTGGGAGGCTTTAGGGGAAGGGCTGTGTGTGGGGTTCTCTGCCCGCCTCCCTTCCTTCCCCACGTGGAGTTCTTAGGAGCGGCCTTGTGTGGAACCCTGGATGAGACTCTGCCCTATACAGCCCGACCACCTACCCCTCCTTCCACAGGGGAAAGTGTTCCCCAAGCTACGGAAACGAAGCAGCATTCGCTCCGTGGATATGGAGGAGATGGGCACGGGGCGGGCCACCGACTATGTGTTCCGGATCATCTACCCCGGCCACAGGCACGAGCACAGTGAGTGTCCCGAGCTTCATCCCGGGGGAGGAGAGGAAGACGCTCTGGGAGGCGGGGAGCGCAGCGTCACCCAGGAGGGCAGCAGGCAGGGCCCACTGACCAGGCCAGGTTAACACCAGAGGCTCATCGCCTAGCCTCTCAGCTGGACCTTTTACCCACAGATATTGCCTTTGAAAAGGTGCGTCTCTTCTACCCAGCTCCCTTCCCCACTTCTCCACGCCAGGACTCTTGGCTCAGCAGACCTAGGCGTCACTACACAAGACTCTTAGTTATCCTTTCAGACCCTGTCCAGGGGTAAAACACGTGGAGAAACGAGAAGTAGAAGGTGGGGAACCCTCCATTGCTCTTCACCTCCTGCTCCCCAACCCCTACAAGACAGCCTGGGTATGGGACCAGCGCTACTTTTTTTTTTTTTTTTTTTTTGAGACGACGTCTCGCTCTTTTACCCAGGCTGGAGTTTAATGGCGTGATCTCAGCTCACTGCAACCTCTGCCCCTGGGTTCAAGCGATCCTCCTACCTCAGCCTCCTGAGTAGCTGGGATTACAGGCGCACACCTCCATGCCCGGCTAATTTTTGTATTTTTAGTAGAGATGGGGTTTCACCATATTGGCCAGGCTGGTCTCAAACTCCTGACCTTGTGATCTGCCTGCCTCAGCCTCCCAAAGTGCTAGGGTTACAGGCGTGACCACTGCGCCCGGCCCAGCGCTTCTTTTTGGATGGTGAATATTGTCTGCTGACTCCCCTAGAGCCAGAGCCCTCCTCAAACCAACTACTGATGAGCGTTAGCTGAAGTAGCAGGTTGCATCAGAGGCAGACTCGGGGCTGCCTGGGGGCTTTGGGCACTGGCGGGTAGAAAGGCGGCTTGGCCCTTGTGGGTCCTGCCCCACCCTGGACACACACCCCTGGGCCCAAGGGGGTCTCTCTGTCTATGTGCATCTACCAACACCAAAGTTCCCTTTCTGGTCAGAGTGCTGCTGCTGCCCATAGGCTTCTCTGGGCAGACTTGCTTTTCTTACAGATAAGGTCGGGGAATTTGCCAGCCCAGAGCGTTTATTGCTAACAAGACCACCCGCTCCCTAAATTTCCAACTTGTGCCAAAAAGTTGTCAACAAGTTGTCTCTGTATTAGGGACCGGACTGCCCAGACGGCACACTCAGCCACAGCACAGATAGCTCCACCAGGCTCAGAGGGCACACGGCACAGGGATGTCCCCCCTTCCCAGATGTACCTGACAAAGAGACGCATCTTTGGCCAGAATGTATTTACACACTTGGCACTTAGTCTCAGGCTGTTGCTTGGTTTAGCTTCTCCAGTCTCTGCCTCCCCTCTTCGATCTTTGCCATTTCCCAGTCCTGGTCACTTCACTTCCAGGACCACCTCGCCAAGGGCAAGCCAGGGCACCCAGAGGCTGAAACTCCACCAAGCGACTCCAGCTCCTTGAGGACAGCTCTGGGAAAACCCTTTCCTTTTCCTGGGAGGGAAGAAGGTGGAATTTATAGTCTGAAAAAGGGGATTTGGAGTAATCTTCAGATTTGGTCCAGCCTGAGAGGAGCTAGAGAACGATCAGGACCCATCTGCCAGCTGTCATGCGCAGCCTCTGTGAGGGCCGATGACCTCCTGGGCTGCCAGCCCATCCCAGACAGTCCCGGTCTTTCACATCCTCCCACCTCTGTTCTCTCTCTTCTGTTCTTCCTAGAGAGGCTGCCTCCGAAGAGTGAGGTTCTGCAGCTGCCCCAGCCCCTCGCCTCCTTCCACACTCTCCCAGGAAAATCATCCAAAGAGCTTTCTGGTCCCCTCCCTTCCCCTCTTCTGTGCCCTGCAGATTCACGATGACCCCGGCCTCCATTCCACTCCCCTTAAGGAGGGAGTCCGTCCTGCCCAGGGATGAGGGCCTCATGCCTCTGCCTCTCGCTGTTCTCTTTGAGCAGTCACTATTAACTACCACCACCTAGCGGCCAGCCGCGCGGCCTCGGTGGACGATGATGAGGAAGAGGAGGATAAACTGCACGCGATGCTCTCAATGATCTGCTCGCGGAACCTCACAGCTCCCAATCCGATGAAAGGTTCTTATCCCTCCCTCTCCCTGACCCACCTCATCCCCACCCTCCCTCCCGGGCCCGCCTGCCACCCACCACAGGGGTTCGAACGGCAGTGTTGGCATTAGGGGACTTGCACCCAGGGCAGTTCCCTTCCATCGGGGGCAGATCAGGGAGGGCAGAAGGAGGCCAGACAGGTGCTGGCAAGAAAAGGGGCTGGCCCAGGGCAGGTGGCTCCAGGCTGTGAGGAGGAAGAGGATTTGCTAATAGGAAGGTCTGATTATCTGATTGCCTCCTGGGCACCCTGAATGGATCTCTGAGCCCATTCCTACTCCGGGGGTCAGGCTGGCAAATGCCAGACAGAGGTCTCTTCCTTTCTCTCTGCTGATTGGGAAGACCAGCCTCTGGGCCTGGTGCTTCTGACTCCTGACTTAACAGAAACAGGATGGAGGTACCGGGTCCTTCCTGGGGCAGGGGCAGCAGCTGTGGGTCAGGCGAGGGGTTGAGGGCTGCCATGCGAAGGGCCCCAGGGCTCAGTCTTCCCAGGAGGCCTGAGGGCCCCAGCCGGCAGGGCCTGGTACTTTGGCATGAAATCTAGAAATAGCTGCAGCATGGTGTCCAGGAAGGGGCCAGGCTCAGGGCCTGGCAACATGAACTCCCGCCCCAGATATGCCCCTGGTTCACTGTGTGGTTTTGAGCAAGTTTCTCACTATCCCGGAGCTCCGTCTCTTCACCTGCGCCAGGGATATAAGACAGATGTGTTCCTGCCCTCATGAGTCTCAGGGTCCACGAATGGAGAGGTCACCTTTGTTGGAGGTGATAGCGTAGTGCCCTCAGCCTCTCAGGGTTCCTCTGCCTACCACCCATCTTTCCTAGCACAGAGCTGGCTTGGTAGAGAGGGAGCCCCCCTCTTTTCAGCAAGCAATCAGCCAGGCGACCTGTGAGGGCTGGGATGGGTGCTCCAGAAAGGGGTGGGTAGGAAGAGGCTGAGGCCAGTTCTCCCAGAGACGAGGGGAGCTTCCCCATTCCCACCCATTCCCATGCTACAAAATCAATTGCTTCTCCCTTTCCCCGCCCCTGCAGAGGATGTCCTCAGAATATGTCACACTCCCCTTAGGCTTCCAAAGTTCTGCCGGGAAGCCCAGTTCCTTAGCCGGCCACTGATCCAGTAACTGTCTCCGGGCAGGCAGGACGGCCTGGTCTGTGTTAGAACACACCCAGCACACCCTCTGCACAAGCTGCCAGCTGCCCTCCTACTGCCAGGCGCCTGCCCTCATGCCCACCCTCCCTCCCAGCCCTTCCAATATGAGCCCGTAGGCCAGGCCTAGGTGGGAACATCCTACTTCTGATGTTTATTGCCTACACACACCCCTGCCATCTGGTTTCTTGCAAACCTGGACTTGGGGCTGTTGCCTATTTACAGTGAACTGACTGAGCAGTGTGGGAAGGTTGAGCTCTGAGGGGACCCACGGAGCTACTTCTTCCCCCACGAACTGGTAGTCAGGCTAGAGGCTGGAGGGTCCTAGCAGAGCCCTTGGCAGACTCGGTGATAAAAAGCCTATCCCTGACTAGTCTTAGGGCTGAGGCCTCCGGGATCAGAGAAACTTCCAGACCCACTTCCAGGGGTCCAGAGGCCTCAGGGCTCATCTGTGCATCCTCTCAAGGAACTCAGGGGCTAGGCCAACCTAGTATAGAGCTTCTGGGCCCCTAATACTTGGGAAAGGAGAGGAGGCATAAGAGCAGAATCAGCAGGCGGTTGGGGAGAGGGCTGGGGAATGGGGGCCCCCCACCTCCACTCCAGTCCATAATGACAACACTGTTGAGTCCGTTCTGCCAGCTGTTGCTTTTCAGGCCTGCAACATGCTTGACTTGTGCATGTGAATCAGTGGCGGGGTGTCCAAATTTCCTCTCCCTCCCTCTTCCTCTCCCCTTCCTTTTCCTGCTGCCTCCCCACAGAGCAGATGCTATTCACTCTAATTCTGCTCCAGGCCAGGCACCTTTCACTCGGAGTCTTAGGGGCTGTGGGGTTCGCCCACCCTGTTTTCTTGCTTTACACTTTCCTCATGCTCAGAGGAGAGAGTCAGAGTCAAAGCTGACCCAGCAGACCCCCCTCCCCCCGTCCAGCCTGTGCCCTCACCCAGTCACGCCATAGCCCCAGCTATCTGCACTGGGCTCGCTCAGAGACAGTGTTCGAATGTGGCTGGTTCAGCTCCTTCCTGGAGGATTAAGGTGAAGAGCATTGGCCCAGGAGACCTTGGCTGGGCCTCCTTTCTGGGCATGAGCTTGGTTCCCTTTGCCCACCCCCGCCCTCACCCCTGTTGCCCTCCCTGCCTGCCCGCCTGTTGCCTGCTGCCTGCCTGGCTGGGCCTCTTCCCACCCCGGCTCCTCCCGGGACTGTCCTCTTCTCTCCTGCCTGCTGCAGGGGCCTGAGCTGGGCTCCTGCCCCACTGCACCTGCACCCTCCCCTTCTTCCCAGAGTCTCAGGCATGGCTTGCAACGCCCTCACTCCCAGAGCCGCAGCCCCTCCTCACCACGCGTGTTCCCTTAATTTGCCTCCTGGTGGAGCTGAAGGGCCAGATATCTGCAAAACTCCCGGCCGTGGGTCTGGGAAGAGAGCCCCGGCCAAGGCAGGGCAACCGCTGAGGGAACCGGAAGGGGCTCAGCTCAGCCCTCCTCACCAAGGCACACCCAGAGCTGGAGTCCAGCTCCCACCAAAGCCAGGCCCACGCCTGCGGCAGGCCACAGTGGGCCCCGGCCCAGGCTGAGCCAGCCGAGCAAACTGCTGCTGACAGGACTCCCTCAGCACACACGGCTCTCCATCCCTGTTCTTCCGAACTCTTCTCCACTCTCTCCCTCCCTCCCGGCATCACCCCCCAGTGCTTCCACTTCCTCTCTCACTTTGCTTCATGTCTGTGGCTCCCTGGACCTGCCAGAGTCCCCCTTAAGCAGTGCCCTGCCCCACGTGGGCCGTGGAAGCTCTCGAGGGTCTTGAGTTCTGATTCAGACCGCCTGGGCTGGCTGGGCAGGCCCTGTCGCTGGCAGCGTAGCTGTGTCTAAGGAGTCATCTTCTGAGGCTGCAACTGGGCCTGTTCTTCTCTGTCACATTGGATAGTGGGCCTCTGTGCCCAGCCACCACTCCCGGCCCCGCAGTGGCCTCGTAGTCCTGGGACCTGTGACTTCCATCCAGCTCCCTGGTGTTTTCGGGAGGCCACCATGCTAACTGCTGTCAGGCTAGGCAGGGATGGAGCAGAGCTCAGAAAGGGGCCATAGGAGCTGACAGCAGGGGTACCTGGCCTGGGCACGGGGCACTGCTCATCCGTAGCCACTGGCCACCAGATCTAGACTCCCCCAGAAGAGCCAGGCCTACGGGCAGGTGACTCAGATTCCTCGGGGGCTTTGAACAGTGGGGACTCCCTGGAGGGGAGCGTTCAGAGTTGGAAGTATTCCAAAGACCTCCTTGAGCATCTCAGAGTTTGCCAAGAGGACCGAGCTGAATCCGTGAAGGCTGAGCTAGCTGGTGGCTTTGAGGAGCTCAGGTCTTTGTTCCTTCTCTTTCTTTCCCTTCCCTCTAGAAAAGCAAGTGCTTGCTGGTCGCAGGATAGAGCTAGGCACAATCATCCAAGACTCAGTCCAAGCATTTTACCACATGCAGAAGGACGCCTTGCGCCCCTCTCCAGGCTTGCTGGAGGCTAGGAAGTGTCAGGCGCCCTCTCTCCCTACCGTTTCCATCTCTGGGCTCTGGACCAGGCAGGCCCCACCTCTGTGATTTTCCACCCATGGGTGACTTGATGCTGCAGCTCTGGGCACAGAGGTGGGCATGGTGCAGGGTGCCTGGGAGAGAAGGTGTCTCAGGCCCTGACCATGCCACCCTTCCTGCCCGCAGACGCTGGTGACATGATCGAGATGCAGGGCTTTGGGCCCAGCCTGCCAGCCTGGCACCTGGAGCCCCTGTGCAGTCAGGGCTCCTCCTGCCTCTCCTGCTCCTCCAGCAGCTCCCCACATGCAACCCCCAGCCACTGTAGCTGCATCCCCGACCGGTGAGTGGGCAGCGCTCGGCCCCAGCTTCCCGTTAGCGTGTCCAGCCACGTGTGTGTCCGTCTGTCCTTAAAGGCCGTGTCACCTGCACGACAGGGTGGCCTCTAGAGTGGGACAGATCTGGGTTCAAATTTCACTTTTGCTACCCACGTGACTTACAAGTTATGGAATTACCATGAGCCTCTACGTTTCTGAACCTCAGTTTCCTCATCTGTAAAATGGGGATGATGCCACTTGCTGCCTGCAGTACTTATGAGGACAGAATGAGAGAGAACCCAAGTGAAGGTCCGGAGTTGTGCCGGCACATCATGGGCTCAGTGCCCGTGAGCTCCCCTTCCCGATGTGCACACAGACCCTGCTGACAGGCCGTCCACCTGAGGACACTCAGCAGCCACCTGCCGTGTGCCAGGGCAGTGAGTGAATGGCTTTTATGGGAGGTGTTCTCTTTTACCTTTACTTCGTCTTCCGTTTATTAATCCTGATGATCCTCCGCTGCCTCTCTCCATTTTTCACATGAGGAAACGAAGATTCATGTAGGTGAAGTTCGTTGACCAAGATCCCTGGGTGGTTGGGGGCCAGGCGGGGGCCCCACAGCACTCTGTCCAGGTGGCAGGCAGGGACAGGGCACCCACTGACGGCTGCTGGGCTGCGGCTCCTCCTCCTCGCACCCTCCCCAGTGCCTTACCTGCCCCCCAGGACAGAGCCTCCTCCCTTCTCTCTCTCCTCCCACCAGAGGGGCCGCAGCCCCTCCCTGCTGAGCCCGGTTGTTGCCACAGGTTGCCGCTCAGGCTACTGTGTGAGAGTATGAAGAGGCAGATCGTGTCCCGGGCCTTCTACGGCTGTGAGTGTGGGGCGCGCCGGGCTGTGGCGGGCTGGGGGCGGGCGGCCCTGGGTCCCAGCCTCCTGCTGCCCACCGCTGCCCACCGCAGGGCTGGCACACTGCCGCCACCTGTCCACGGTGCGGACCCACCTGTCGGCGCTGGTGCACCATAGCGTTATCCCACCTGACCGGCCCCCGGGGGCCTCCGCGGGCCTCACCAAGGACGTGTGGAGCAAGTATCAGAAGGACAAAAAGGTGCCAACCCTGGGGTTCCAGGGCCACAGGTCGAGGGGCTGGGGCGGGCAGGAGTGAGGGCTTCAGGGTAAAATGTGCCAGTGGGTGCGGTTGACAGGCCAGGGCCGATGCCACGGAGTGACCAGGGTCCCGGCAGAATCTCTTGCAGCTGGGCCTGGGGCTGACACGGGAAGGGGGCTGGACTGGGAAGCCGTCCTGCCTCCACATCGCCCTGTGACCCTGGACAAAGCTTTGCCTCTCTCCGGGCGCCATTTCCTGCCCCTTAAGGAAGGAGAGCAGAACGAGATCTCATCCCACTGTGAGCTGGGGCACGGGAGGACGTGGCCACCCCAAAGCAGGCCTTGCCTGGGCTTCAGCAGTCACTACAGGCCCCGCCCCAGCCCATTCTCCGTGGGATGGGGCTCACCCAGCTGGGCCACGGTGACTGTGGAGGCTGCACAGTCTTGACTCCCCGGGTCCCTCAGAACTACAAAGAGCTGGAGCTGCTGCGGCAAGTTTACTACGGAGGCATAGAGCACGAGATCCGCAAGGACGTCTGGCCCTTTCTGCTTGGCCACTACAAGTTCGGCATGAGCAAGAAGGAGATGGAGCAGGTGAGGGGAGCCTGTTCCCATGGGGCTGATGAGATGGGGAGCTGGGCCAGGGGACGCCAGGGAGGGGACCTTGGAAGCCTCAGCCCCTTCCCAGCCGGAAAGAAGCATGGCAGGGCAGCTCCACCGTCCTTACCCTGAGGCCCGTCTTGAGTCTGAGACTCAGGACCCAAGGTCCAGTGCAGGCCCAGCTCCTGAAGGGGAGGGCCTGGTGCACGCTTCCCCCATGGTCGTGGTGTGGTCTGAGTACAGGTGGACGCAGTGGTGGCAGCAAGGTACCAGCAGGTGTTGGCAGAGTGGAAGGCCTGCGAGGTGGTGGTGAGGCAGCGGGAGCGGGAGGCCCACCCAGCCACACGCACCAAGTTCTCCTCAGGCAGCAGCATCGACAGCCACGTGCAGCGCCTCATCCACCGAGACTCCACCATCAGCAACGATGTGAGCCAGACGGGACCTGGAGGGTTGGGGGTCTCGGGGGCCACCCGCGTTTTATGCACAGTGGTCCTGAGCACCAGCCTGACCTCTGGGAACTGGTGGGGCCCTGCGAGAAAGGCCTAAGGTGCCTGTGTCTCATTTTCTCCAACTGGAAATGGCTAACTGTGCCTCTGCTGCCTACTTCTCTGGGTATTGTAGGAATAAAGTGAGAGAGTGCATTGTGCTCAGTTTTAGCCAACTATAGGGAAAGATGGACTTACTGGGATTTAGGGAAGCCCTCCTCCTTGTAGAAAGACCTCAAAGCTAGCAACAGGCAGCGCTGGGTTCTAGTCCCAGATCCACTACTGACAAGCTGAATGTCTCTGGGCAAGCACTTCCCGTCTCTGGGTCTCAGTTTCCCCTCTCCACCCATATCCTCTGACTGCAGAGGCTTCCTGAGATCTGTGGGCCTGAGAATAGGGGAGCCCGTAGAGCAGCCCCATTGGTGTCGACTGGCGAGATCCTTCCTCCCCGCGATGTTGCCTGTCACTGTACAGAACTGACTATGGCAGGCTTGTTCGGAGCACGGGAGGGTAGCTCTTTCTGGCATCACTCCTGCCTTTTGAACAGCAAGTTCTAAACTGTGACTGCCTGGCCCAACCAACACTGATAAGTTTCAATTTTAAGGACGCTTTATTAATTTTTCTTTAAAATTGCCTCTTTAGATAATGTGTATTCTTGTTACTTTACTAAATCCTTACCAACATTAACAGAAAATGTAAGTTGAAGTAAGTTAAATATAACTGGCTGGGTGTGATGGCTCATGCCTGTAATTCCAACACTTTGGGAGGCAGAGGTGGGAGGATTGCTTCAGTTCAAGAGTTTGAGACCAGCCTGGGTAACATGGCGAAACCCTGTCTTTACAAAAAATGCAAACCTTTGCCGCATGTGTTGGGGTGCGCCTGTAGTCCCAGCTTCTCGGGAGGCTGAGGTGGGGGGACCACCTGAGCCATGGAGGTTGAGGCTGCAGTGAGCCGTGATACCACCACTGTACTCTAGCCTGGGCCATAGAGTGAGACACCCTGCCTCAGAAATAAAATAAAAAAAAAGAAATAGAACAAACAAGGCACATTGTCATTTCCCACGTGCTTTGTTCTTAATCCCCTATCCAGGAACACATTCTCCCTCTCTCTGGCTTTGGGTTTTGTAAAAATCTGTCTGTGCCAGTGCCCAGCTGCTGAGCTCATGGACAGCAGTAGCTCCTCGCTGGCGTATTAGATTGCCACAGAACCGTGGCCTTACCCAGCACTTCATGCTTCCTGCCCAAAGTAGAAACTACTTTTAGCATTGCTTTCCCTACGTGGTGAAAACAGAGAGAGAAAAATCCCAAACAGTCTCTGTATGTGTCTCTTCTTTTCCTCGTGCCTTGTCCATGGTGGTGGACTGTATCTAGGAGGCAGAATGTTTGCTTTTCCTTCCTACATCTCCCCACCTTGCCTGAGGGCTAATGGAACTGACTAGGTGCTTGCTACAGAACGTTCCTGTCTTGTCCTGCTGAACACTCAGTACTGAAAATAAGGCAAAACTTGTTTTTCCTAAAACCTCTAGGCTTCTCTCCACCCAGCCACACCAAAACACTAAGGCCATTCTCCCGGTCTCATGACTTCAGGCGTTTCTAGAATGAGACTGAGTTCAAACTGGCCATTGAGCGTTCAGCCCCCTGGCTCCCCTACTTCCCTTCAGTAGCCACAGGAAGACCTGGGGCTGTTCCTTCAAGCAGGGCTGAAGACGTGTCTTCATGTTTGGCCAGAGGCTTGTTTCTCTCCGCCTGGCTGGCTGGGTCAGAAGCTGGCTTGGTGCCCCGTGGCCACAGTGTTGGAGGCTGTGGTGGGAGAGGGGGTGTGAAGAGTTTTGCATTCCAGCTCCCTTCTGGCCCGAGGAGGCGGTGGGCTGCGGGAAGGTGCTGGAGTGCAGGTGGAGCCGCCCTGTGTTCACCCCCCAGGTGTTTATCTCAGTGGATGATCTGGAACCCCCGGAGCCCCAGGACCCTGAAGATTCCAGACCAAAACCTGAGCAGGAAGCAGGACCCGGGACTCCGGGCACCGCCGTGGTGGAGCAGCAGCATTCCGTGGAGTTCGACTCTCCAGACTCAGGACTGCCCTCCTCTCGCAATTACTCCGTGGCCTCGGGCATCCAGTCAAGCCTAGATGAGGGGCAGAGCGTGGGCTTCGAAGAGGAGGACGGCGGTGGGGAGGAAGGCTCCAGTGGGCCCGGCCCTGCAGCTCACACTTTGAGGGAGCCCCAGGATCCCAGCCAGGAGAAGCCTCAGGCCGGAGAACTGGAGGCCGGAGAGGAGCTTGCGGCTGTGTGTGCGGCTGCCTACACTGTGCGTACATGCTCCCCAGGCTGTTCCCAGCCGCCCCAGAGGCCCTCCTGACATCCCAGAGCTGGGGAAGCGCTGGTGGGGTGGAAGGCGGGGCGCCCTGACTGCCCTGGAAGGGAGTTCTGAGCCCATTTCTCAGCATCCCCACAGGACTCGCTCTGGTCTCTGGGTTCCGTTTTGCTGCATTTCTTGGGGCGTCACCTCCTGCCCCCAGCCTGGGAAGGGCTGCCCGGTCTCATGCCTGAGGGCCCTCCACTCTTCCAGATAGAATTACTGGACACTGTGGCCTTAAACCTGCACCGCATAGACAAGGATGTGCAGAGGTGTGACCGCAACTACTGGTACTTCACGCCCCCCAACCTCGAGAGGCTCAGAGACGTCATGTGCAGGTGCCTTGTGGGGCGGGGCTCAGGGTGGGAGGCGGGACCCTGCCGCCAGTTACTCTGTGAAGATGAGGTCCGGAAGGTGCCCTGCTCCTCTCTCCTGCTCCTGAATCACACTTGGCTCCCCCTGCCTGGAACGCTTTTTTCCTGCACACCCCTCCCCCGCGCCTCTTCATTCTTAGGGGCCTACCAGACCTCCACTTCAGCCACACCTCTTCAGGAAGCTTTCCCTCATCCCCGCACCCCCGCCCCACATACCAAGCGTGACGGCCTTGGCTCTCCCTAAGTCGGAGTGCCTTGGGGGGGACCCGTGGGTTGTTCCCCGTTGTCTCCCTGTGGGGGGTGCACAGTACATGCCTTAGGGTCGTGGAAAGGCTGACTTCTGGGCGGCAGGTGGCTCTGGAGGACGTCTTCCCAGGGATCCCGAGGGAGGGAAGAATGGGGCACAGCCACAGTGACTCTCCCCCTGCCTTTCAGCTACGTGTGGGAGCACCTGGACGTGGGCTATGTGCAGGGCATGTGCGATCTGCTGGCGCCTCTCCTGGTCACCCTCGACAATGGTGAGGGATGGCGGGACATGGGACTGGGCTGCGTAAGCTGGAGAAAGGACGAGAGGGTGGCCAGGTCTGGAGGGGTGGGAATGGGAGCCGGCTCTGTCCCCTGCGTCTCCTGCCCTGCCAGCTTCACTCCTGTCTCCCCTCAGATCAGCTGGCCTACAGCTGCTTCAGCCACCTCATGAAGAGGATGAGCCAGAACTTCCCCAACGGGGGTGCCATGGACACCCACTTTGCCAACATGCGCTCCCTCATCCAGGTGAGGCCGGTTGCCACCCATGGGCATGGGAGCAGGCAGTGCTGGGCTGGTCCATCGTCCACATGGCTAGGGAGCATTCCACAAACATACTTGACATAGAAACTTAACTTCTTTCATTTTAAAAGACATGGTTTCAGCAGGGCAACGTGGCTCAGGCCTGTCATCCCAGCAATTTAGGAGGCCGAGGCAGGCGGATCACGAAGTCAGGAGTTTGAGACCAGCCTGGCCAACATCGTGAAACCCCATCTCTACTAAAAATACAAAAATTAGCCGGGCGTGGTGGCACACACCTGTAGTCCCAGCTACTCGGGAGGCTGAGGCAGGAGAATCACTTGAACCCGGGAGGTGGAGGTTGCAGTGAGCCGAGATCACACCACTGCACTCCAGCCTGGGTGACAGAGCGAGACTCTGTCTCAAAAAAAAAAAAAAAAACCATGGTTTCAGCGTTAGAAATTGAGGAGGAGTGTGTGTGTGTGTGAATGCTCGTGCCCATGAAAGTTCTGGCGAACAGTAGGGGTTGCTGATGACATCAGACACCCAGAAAATCCTATAACCCTAAAAATAATGCAGCTCAGAGAGATGGGTGATGGGAGGGGCAGCAGGAGCAACCCACCCTCCACAAGGAGATCCGAGGGGGAGAGAGTGCACCGCGCAGCACAGGGCAACAGACAGACCCACTGCCAGGTTGGGGATCGCCTGCATCCCTGGGCGTGAGCGGACGGTGAGTGGCGGCCAGAGGCAGCATCGGCTCAGGGCTCAGCCTCTCTCCCTTTTCCCACCCACATAAGATCCTGGACTCAGAGCTGTTTGAGCTGATGCATCAGAATGGAGACTACACCCACTTCTACTTCTGTTATCGCTGGTTCCTGCTGGATTTTAAGAGAGGTAAGAAGTGGGTTGGATCATGGGGCTGAGGTCAGGGACAGTGAGAGATCCCTCTTCCCCCAAGCCAACAGTTCTCAATCCTAACTGGACCTTGGAACCACCTGGGGAGCTTTAAAACCTGCCAGAACCCTGGCCCCACCCAGCCCAGACTCATGAACTGTGGCTGCCTGGGCCTATGGGTTCTTAAATGCTCGCTGACCAGACACAGTGGCTCACGCCTGTAAACCCAGCACTTTGGGAAGTCAAGGTGAGAGGATCGCTTGCACCCAGGATCTTGAGACTAGCCTGGGCAACATAGCGAGACCCTGTCTTTAATTTTTAAAAAAGAAAGAAAAAATGAGGCTGGGTGCGGTGGCTCATGCCTGTAATCCCAGCACTTTGGGAGGCCAAGGCAAGCAAATCACTTGAGGTCAGGGGTTTGAGGCCAGCCTGGCCAACATGGTGAAACTCCGTCTCTACTAAAAATACAAAAATCAGCCGGGCATGGTGGCGGGTGCCTGTAGTGGAGGCAAGGTTATGGTGAGCTGAGATTGTGCCACTGCACTCCAGCCTGGGCAACAGAGCCAGACTGTGTCTCAAAAAAAAAAAAAGAAAAGAAAAGAAAAAATTGAAAAGAAAACAAAATTTCCATAGGTGATTCCGAAGTGCCACTAGGGTTGACAGTTACAACTCTCATAGATCATAGTTTGGGGAACTTTTTTCAAACCAAAGCATTCCTGAGCACCAAGATGGGAGGCCTGTGACAGCTGCCCGGCTGAAGTGCAGGCAGAGTCTGCAGGAACCCAGTGTGCAGAAATTACCCAAGAAAAGGATGGGGCCTTGGTACGGGGTACAGAACCCCCATTCCTGAGCCAGGCTCTGTGTCATGGAGAGAATCCCACGACTTTGGCCCCTGAAGCTCTGATCCCTCACCTGGCTCCATTTAGAGGCCTGTGAGCAGCCAGTCCGGCCAGCATCAGCCCCAGCCCCAGCCTCAGCCTCAGCCTCAGCCCCAGCCTCAATCCCAGCCTCAGCCTCAATCCCAGCCTCAGCCCCAGATATGCGGCTAGGACGGGTGAGCAGCAGCCGCTTACTCTCCGCAGAACTGCTGTATGAGGATGTGTTTGCTGTGTGGGAGGTGATCTGGGCAGCCAGGCACATCTCATCGGAGCACTTTGTCCTGTTCATCGCCCTCGCCCTGGTGGAGGCCTACCGAGAGATCATCCGTGACAACAACATGGACTTCACTGACATCATCAAGTTTTTCAATGGTACGAGCTGGTCCAGCCATCCAGGCTGCCCTGAGCAGAGGTGTGGAGGCCCCCACCTCTGCCCCGCACACAGCTGGAGGGTTCTCAGGAATCCTGGGGGCCCTTCCCCAAAGGCCGGGATGTCAAGAATCTAGCAGAGCAGATGGAAACAGAGCAGGGTAGTCAGCCACCTCCTAGCCTGCTGCCCTTTCTCTGGGCCTCTCTACAGCTCTTCACGTTTCCCCCCAGAACGTGCTGAGCATCACGATGCCCAGGAGATCCTGCGGATTGCCCGGGACCTCGTCCACAAGGTGCAGATGCTCATAGAGAACAAGTGAGCTGGGGCCAGGAGGCAGCAGCCGTGCAGAGCCTGGGCTCCGGCAGGGAGAGGTGCAGGGGAGTCACCGCCCAGACCTCCCCAGCCACCAACCGACCCCACCTCTGTTCCTAACAAAGCGGTTGTGAGCCTGGATCCGACTCCCGGCAGTGCTGACCCTGCAGGGCAAGTCAGGGGCCAGGATGCCCTCGGATCAGGGCCGGGATGGGAGGGGTCAGCCTCAGGGAGCAGCTGCCTTGGGGGACACACCTACTCTGCTCCCCTCTCACACATCTGGGAGTAGCCCCACTGCCACCTGCAGCCGCAGCCTGGACTGCTGCCCACGAGTGAACCTGGGGCCCCACAGGATTAACAGGGGCTATAGCGGCCTGGGCCCTACTCAGCTGGGGTGGCAGAGGGCGAGAGGCTCTGTGCTGTGTCCCTTCTGAGGGTCCCTTTGCAGTCCCAGTATATTGTGCGTGCACCAGCCCCAGCTGGAGCAACCAAAACTGCTTCTGGTTTAGGCACACGTCACGGGTGCGGGAGACCCGGGCACGGGAGACCCGGGCCGCCTTCAGGCCGCTCCCCCGAGATTCTGGGGCAGTCGGAAGATGTGGGCCCTGGGTGGGAGCAGCCCACTTCAGCAGCACTGCCACTGCCTTTGGCCACCTGAGGTGACCCCCAGGCCTCCCCGGCCTTGTACAGTGTACCTCTGTGTATCTGTACAGCCTCGCTCCTGCCACCCCACCCTTGCGTTCTGCATTAGGTACTTCCCTGAAAACCACGTGTAAGAAGTGATGCTTTTGCCAGTGGATGATCTGGAATGCGACCGGAGCACTTGCTCTGAGGAATCCCAGGGTGACTCTGTCGGGGAAGAATCCGGTCACAGCCTCCCCTCAGAGACAGGCCTCAGTTCGAGGGCAGCCCATTATCTGTCGCAGACATCTGCCATGTCCCTGAGACTGCGGGAGGCAGGGGATGCATGGGTGTCCCCATCTGTCCCTGGTGAGAAGCAAGGCTAGCTCTGCCTTCCACATGCTTCTCAGGATGCCAAGAGGCCTAGGAACCCAGAAACCCCCTTGGAGGAGCTGTGTATGCGGGGGTGCCAGGAAGGGCATAGCTCCTGCCCCCAGGCCTAGGCATGCTGCTTGCTCGGCCATCCCCACTTCCTCCTCTACCCCAACACATGCAGGCTAGGCCTTGCCCTGGAACATGGAGGCCCTGCCCGGGGCTGGGGCCTAGTCCAGCAGCCACCAAAGTCTGGCAGACTTTCTGCATTTGAGAAACATGACAAAGGGCCCCGCAGCCCTTCTGCACCCAGCACAGCCTGCCCAGCCCAGCCCTGCCCCCGGGCACTGCACAGCCTGTCTGGGGGCCAGACCACCCCATTGTCCATCCTTGTTGTCCGTGAGTCCTTGGCCTCCACCAAGCACGTGTGGCCATTGTGTGCCTGCCTTAGTGACTCCGTGGTTTTGTGAGGAGCAGAGTGTGTATGATTTTTGCCTCAGAAACTATACTCTTCTGTGTAACAGACCAATAAACAACATTTGTCAACACTGGAGCCTCTGGGACTGGACACTGAGAGACCACGTGCCTTCTTTAAGCTCCACAGTCGGCCAGCCCCAAAAGGCGAGGACGGCAAAAAACTAAAGTTTCCAAGAGAGGTACTCCAGCCGCCAGTCTGGAGGGTGTGGGCTGGTCAGGAAGTCAGGGTGATTTGATAGCCAAACCTCAAGTACTCAGCGCCCTTGAGGGGACCTCACCCCAGAGTCATGGCCCCATCTCACGATGACCAGTGGCCCCTCTAGCCTGTGGATGAGAGAAGGTCCCTGTCCCATCCCTACCCCCTGCCTGCCCTACTGACCAGGCTGCAATGAGAAGCTGGAGCTTGACTATGCCACTGCAGCTGATGGCAACGGAGCTGCCCCTGTGGGTGTGGCTCTCACCCCGAGCACTGTCTGAGAGGCCGGAGGGGAGTGTCAGGAGGAGTCAGACCCTGCTGAGCTATAGACAGGCCCAGCTGTAACGGGTCTGCACCTCTCTTCCTGCCCTTCCCCAACCCGAGTGCTACTGGTCCCATCGTCGATGGCTCCAGGGAGAAGACACCAGTCACACAACATGTCTTCTACCCTAGAGGACACTGGCTTCCTGGACATTAGGGCCTGTTTTCCACTCACTCAAAGCTGAAGACCCCAGCCCATGGTCCTAGCAGGCTGAACCCAGCTTTATTATACAGAGAGAGAGACAGACAGATAGACAGACACAGAGTCTTGCTATCTCTCCCAGAATGGAGTGCAATGGTATGATCATGGCTCACTGCAGCCTTGAACTCCTAGGCTCAAGCGATCCTCCCAACTCAGCCTCCCAAGTAGCCAGGGATGCAGGCCCCCATCATGGCAGTTTTTCTATCTTTTTGGTAGAGGCAGAGGCTCACTGTTGCTCAGGCTAGTCTTGAACTCTGGCCTCAAGCAGTCCACCCACTTGGCCTCCCGAAGTGCTGGGATTACAGGCTTGAGCCACTGCATCTGGCCCTGAACCCAGCTTTTAGGAAAGAGTGCAAACTAGTGGCCAGAGCTACCCAAAGAAACCAGTTGGTGCAGAGAGAGCTCTGGGGCCAGGGAACTTGATGAGCCCTTCAGGGGAACACCCCCGACCCGCCAGCCGACTCTGTTGCCTGGAGGAGTCAGAATTCCTTTGCTGTGACCACCTAAAGGAAATTTCACCTAGCCTGGGAGTAACCCTTCACACACTTCCGTCCTGCCCTACTCCCCCTGACTACTGGACTGGGATCCTGGGACCAGAGGGGATCCCACAGCTTTTCAAAACGATGGGACAGCTGGGGCGGGAAGAGCAAGCAGCACAGTGGGCTCTCCAAACACCATCTCAAGGAACCTTTGCAATCTGGAAAGTCAGGTCTTCCTCTTACAGAGCAGGAGCTGGTAAATGGAAGCACCTGGATTCATACTTTATCCTGACCACAGGCCCCTTTCTTATAAGCTCCAGCTGAGCCATGGGTGAGTGAGAACTGTGGGTGAGGGGGAGCTTTGAGTACAGCTTCTGCCTAAAGATTTAGTGACAGCCCTCAGATGACAGCCAAGTTATCACTGCCTGGGGAGGGTCTTCATCTGTGTTCCCAGTGGGCACAGGGCCTGGCACTGAGCATGCACCCAGGAAGGGTTAACCCTCACCCTATCCCTTCCCTAAAGCGTCGCTTAGTGAGCTAATGGAAGTGACCCAGCTCTTCCAGGAGCTACCAGCAGAGGGAGCCCGCGTCTCACAAGTAAAAAGGGCAGGCTCAGTAGGGAGGGCTGGATTCCGAACTTTCATTTTAATTAAAAAAATTTTTTTTGAGACAGAGTCTCGCTCTGTCTCCCAGGCTGGAGTGCAGTGGCGCAATCTCGGCTCACTGCAGCCTCCACCCCCCGGGTTCAAGTGATTCTCCTGCCTCAGCCTCCTGAGTAGCTGGGATCATAGGCATGCACCACCATGCCCGGCTCATTTTTGTATTTTTAGTAGAGAAGGGTTTTTGCCATGTTGGCCAGGCTGGTCTCGAACTCCAGACCTCAGGTGATCTGCCCACCTAAGCCTCCCGAAGTGCTGGGATTACAGGCGTGTGCCACCGTGCCCGGCCTGAACTTTTTGAAGTCAACTCTTCTCTTTCAGAAAACAGGACCCAAGACAGCACTCCCTTCCTCAAGGATAACCCCTACCCACCCCACCTCAGGAAGAGACGCAGAGTCAGTCTCCCCTGTGGGGACTGGGAGTCAGTCAGGTACTGTCAGGGTGGAAATGAGAAGCTGGGCCCCCTTGCCCAGCCTGGTCTCCAGCAAGGCCTAGCTAGTGGCTCCCTGACCTCACTTCCCACACCACCTCCTCCCATGACAGCCTGCCCAGGGAGAGAAGACACAGCCACAGGGACAAGGGGCTTCCAGCCCAGCTGAGAACACGGCTCTTTGCCCCTGACCTCCAGCCTCTTCTTCCCCTTGTTCCTTTCCCTTAGAGGACAGCTTTATGGACTCCCCGGCTGACCTGTTGTAACTGCACCCCCAGAGCAGCCCCTCAGGAAGCTCTCACCCTCTGTGCCCAATCCCTGGGGCAACTCCCCTGTACCTTTTTTATTGGATCCGAGTCTAGGACTGGCCCCAGGTGCCACAAGGGTGGCAGATGCTGGGTAAGAACTCTGTACCCAGTTCAGAGGTCTGACTGCAGCTCCAACGAAGTCTCCAGCTAGCCGTGTGGCCTCAACAAGTCACTGGGCCACCTCAATCCTGTTTCCTTATCTGCCAAAATGGGGCTAAGTCTGGCTTATTTACTTCACTTGGCTGTTGAAAGATGAAACAAGATAATGCTTGTAAAATGGTCTGAGGAAATACGAAGCTTTGCAAAAGTTTCAGACCGACCAGAACTGCCATTTTCAGAGCGGCGGAGGCACCGGGTCAGAGCCGCTTGAGGACTATGCTGGGCAGACAGGGTCGAGACAGGTGATCTCACCGCTCCTGCCACATGCTTCCCTACAGGCCTCAGCCTCCTTTTGCAATAAAATGACCCAGATGCTGCAGGCTGGCAGCTCCATCTCAGGTTTCAGTGCAGGTTTATTTCAGTTTTATATTTTATTCCAGGCAAGTGCTTATTACATGGATAGTATTCATGTCTCGGTAACTAAAGTCTTGGAGCATGAACAGCCACTAGAATACAGTTCAATAGTAAAAATACAGTATGTACAAAATTAGGGTTTTTGTAGTTTTTTTTTTTTTCCACACAGCAGATGTATCCAAACACATAAAAATCTCTACAGTCTGGGGTCGCTACAGTTTATATTTCAGGAAACAGAGACACAGTGGCCGAGTCCTCACTGTAAACAAGGGCCACCTCTGGGGGTTGGGGGTGGGACCCTGGGATGGGGGGAGAAGCAGCTGTTTCTGGAGAGAGAAGGGGTCATGGTGGCCCCCCAGTTACCCTCCAGGCATTCCCTGCCTTCTTTGGCCCCCCAAGGAACCAACCTCCCCCTCTCCCCGAGGTAAGGACTCCCAGCCAGTGAGCCACTCTGAACATCAAAAGGTAAAACACGCATGAGAGGTAAGATGTGTGCGTGTGCGTGCGTGTGTGTGTGTGTGTGTGTGTGTGTGTGTCCCAGGCTGGAAGGGCTAGGGAGGGAGGGCCAGGCGGTCCCACAGGGTGAGGACAGATGTGGTCCCGACAGCACTCTGGGGGAGACGCCCAAGGAAGGGCTGGGTGGTGACTGCCCACTTGGGCACACAGCATCACAGCGTTCACAAACGACAAGAAAAACAGCAACACCCATCGTCACCAATCTGGACATAGTCATTCGGCACTAGATTTGCAGGCCCCCGATGCTGGGGGACAGGGACGGGGAGGGGCAGCGGGTGGATGATGAGGTATCTGTGCAGGCCCGGGGGCCACTGGCCTCAGGATGCAGGGAGAGGTGGGCAGGCTGAGGGGAGGGGCGAGCTCCACGAGGCTGCTCTAACTGCCCCGTGGGTCAGGCCTGCCATCGCTGTCACAATGGGAATAGCAAAGCTGGCTCTCCCAGAGCCACGGGGTCTGGCGGAGGTGGCTGTGCTGGGGTGGGTACAGGGCTCAGCCTCTGAGGATGGTGACCTGGTTTGTAACTGTCCCTTTACCCACACCAGGAGAGAGAAATAAGGAACAGTCCCCTGGGAGGTGTCCAGGACCAGGAGGGAACAGGAAGGGAATTTTTAGGCATCTAAGGATTCTTTATTTCCAGAGAAAATCTATTCAAGACCTTTGCTGACCTCCTCTGTGCCTGCAGGGCACTCCAGGAAATCCTCAGCTCTGTCCCCTCCCCCCGGCCCCCTCGCCGGCCCAGGCCCCTGCCCCAGCCCATCAGTGTGAGCTTCACATCCAGGGACACCGGCTTCCTCCCGCTACACTGAAAGGCCACTGGTGAGTGTGTGTCCAGGTGGGGAGCCGAGCGTGTCTGACACAAAGCCACTTGTAATAAACACCCACATACAAGGAAAGGCCAAAGCAGGCTGCCCAGAGGCAGAGAAAGCCGCATCCTAACACAGAGCCCCTGACTCCTCCCCCTTCCACGCTCAGCCCTGTCCTTGACCCAACCAAGGACCTCTTCTCAGAGAAAGGTGCTGCTGCTCTGCAGCTCCCCGGGCAGGGCCCACTCAAAAGCGTCCCCGGGAGAAGCAGGGTGTTGAGGGGATGGGAGGACAGAGGCAAAGGGGCTGGAGCAGAAGCAGCAGCCCTAGCTCTGGCCCTCTGTTCTGTATAGGTCCCAGGGTTGGTCTGGGGACAGGCTTAGGGCTTGGCTAAGCCGCTGGGTTTTTACCTTCCTGATGTCTCAACGATGTGGCTTCTATGCTCCTGGAAACAAGACCAGATGCTGGTCCATGTCTCCCAAACTGCAGGAGGCACCCAAACCCACAGGCCGCCAGGCCCACCTGTCCCTTGGAGCAGTGCCCAGCACTCAGCAGAGGTCAGAGATCAGGGGCTGAACGCAGGACAGCGCCCCTCTTTGCTGCCTTCTGGAAGCCAAGAGCCAAGCCCAGGGCTGGGGACTGGGGACTGGGGACAGGGGCCCAGTGGCTCTCCTCCCATCCAGACCCAGGCTGCAGGGGACGGGGAAGGGGAAGGACAGCCAAGTCCCTCCTTCCCCACCTCAGCCTGCCCTCCTGAGGTCCAGAGCCCAGTGGCAGGGATTGGGGTGAGGGCACAGGAAGCTTGGCAGTGGCTGGGTTTGGTTTATTGTTGGTAGAGAATCATTTTAAGTAGTATCTACGGTAACGAATCACAGTGACTGCAACCGGGTCAGAGAGCCCCAGGCTGAGGCCCCACCTGTCCGGGTGGGACTCCAGACCAGCCACTTCCTATGATCTGTCACCTGTGCTCAGAGCAAGGCCCCTTATCACCCCAATCCGCAGCTTTCTGGGCCAAGTGGCTTCAGTTCTGCTTTCCCCATTTCCCCTCCAAAGGCCTGGGAAGAGAACATGAGGCTCCGGAGGAAAGCCGGGGGCCTGGGCCACCTCACCAGACAGCAATAGCAGCAGCAGCACACGAAGGCGGGGCAGGGCGGGGGAGAAGTCAGGGAGCGTGACGTCCACATCGCACTGATTTCCGAGGGTAGGGAGGGGAAGCAGGAGCGGCACTGGAGCTGGCACTGGGCCGGACAGGTGGCACATTCCATCAGAGTCTCGCATTTTCTCAGAGTCATCTTACCAAGTCCTAGTGCAGCAGGGTGGCCCTTCCCTCCCTTGGCTCAGAGTCTTTGCACCCCCTTCCCCTAGGAGGCCTGGGGGTGGGTGGGGGGGCTGGCCTGGGCCTGGCTGGAATGTGTGGAGCTGGTGGGTGAGAGAGTGGGGGACAGGTCCCCCTCCCTGTCCCCACTGGGGGCCTCTGAGTGGCCTCGTCCTCAAGCCAGCTTGAGTGTGCTGACTGGGAAGGAGGGCATGGTGACCATGGTCACAGGGTTGAGCACGGTCTGGCCCACCAGCTGGGGGTGGTGCACCACCTGAGCCCCCACGGCCGGCTTTGCCATGACAGTAGCCGGGGGCCCCAGGCCGGCCGTGCCGTTGACTTGCTGGTGCGAGAGGGTGTGGGCGATGTGGCTCACTGCCACGGGCTGCGGGTACAAGGGCAGCTGGGAGCCCAGGTGGGCCACATGGTTGAGGGTGGCAGGGTGCACAGTGATGTGCCCAATGGGGGGTGTGGCAGGCGCCAGTTGCACCGCAGGGCTGGGGGCCGAGGGGGCGATGTGGGCGATGTGCTTGCCGCCTGGCCCCTGCAGAACGTGGTTCACAGTCTGGATGACTGAAGCGTGAGTGGTGGCTGTGTGGGCGATGACCGTGGAGCCACCCCCAGCCGTCGCCACCAGATGGGCTGGAGCTGGCACCAGTGTCTGGGCAGGGGCAGCCGGTGGGGGAGGAGGGGCTGGCAGAGGGGTCTTCTGCTGTGGCTGCTGCTGCTGCACGGGGAGGTGGGCAGGAGGTAGGGCCACGGAGTGGGGGTGAGGGTGTGGGTGTGGAGGCAGAGGCGCAGGGGTGGTGCTGGGGGGTGGCAGGGTGGACTTCAGCAGCTCCGGCTGGGGACGATGGCTCAGCTTAGGTGGGCCCAGGCCCGCCCGGTCCTCCTCCATATCCTCGTCTATGTTGTCCTCACCCTCTGTGGGGAACATGGGGCAGGGAGCAGGTCAGAAGGGCGGGGAAGCAAGTGGCTGGAGGCGTAGATGCTCGTGGGGGCGTGGGAATGTGATGGGGCTGGGGCCAGGGCCATCTTTTCTAGCAGGCAAGAAAGAGCCTGGCCAGGGAGGCTGGAATTTGAGGTGTAACATCTGAGGGCTGGGGGGCCAGCGTGGGGGCTGGGGCTCACCAGAGGCGGTGGAGGTGGAGGCCTGGTCATCCTCGGGCTGGCCCGTCTGCCGCAGCACGCGGTCAATCTCCAGTACGTCCATCCACTGGCTCAGCTCGTGCTTGAGCTCTGCCAGCCGCTGCTGCGTGGCAATCTTCTCACGTGCCAGCCGCTCCATTTCATGCTCATATTCCTTCTCCTTCCTCTTCAGGGACTGGCACACAGAGTAAGGGACAGCAGGACACCCTGAGCAGCAGCCTTGGGGCCCAAAGCCCCCACAAACCTCTCCCTATCAGCTGGCCCACAGAGGCAAGTCCGTGGCAACCAGCGGGCCCAGCCTGACGGGGGCTGCTGGAGACCGCACCTGTTGTGGTCCATGCCCCTGCCCAGTGAGGCCCAGCGTCCCAAGGAGTGTGGGCTCTTGGGACAGGCACCACTGAAGCAAGCTCAACCAGGTGTGCAGGTCCTTCCCTGTCCTCCACAATTCATCCTCAGGGGCTTCTCCGCCTCTCGCCCCATCCCTCCTCCAGCAGCCTCTTCACTTTGCACACTTCTGCCGCGAGCTACCCTCTAAGGAACCTGATCCTGCGCTTCCACCTCACCGTTCACTTGTCTCCCTGGTAACATCAACATCCTTGCACGATGAGCCACTAGGCAGTGACACGCCCTCGCCCCATCTCATCTCCAGGACTCGCCTCCCTCCTGGCTGCTGGTCTGCACCTGCTCCCCGACCCCCTAGGCGACTCTCCACTGTGCCCGCCTGTGACGCTTCTCGACGAGGCTCCATTTACATGCTGCTCCCCATCACCCTGCCCACTCCCCTCCAGACTCCCTGGGCTGAACAACCCCCAAGCCTAGGAACGTGCCCCCTGTACTTGGGCTAAACCGATCCATGAGAAATGGCTGTTGCGTCCCATGACCCAGCTCCCCTCCACACTCAGTCTTTCCCGTGCTCCAACCCGACACTTCATCAATCCCACCCTTTCAAGTCTCACAGACCTCCCTGCTGGCAGCTTTTCGCCCAGGCACGTCATGACCAATGTGTCCACCAGGCAACGCCGACACGTGTCCTTGCTGCCTCCCGAGTCCCTTTCTTGGCCTGCTCTCGAGCTCCTAGCTTCCCAGGCTTACTGGTCATGTCCAGGTGCAGGGCCCGCAGGCTTTTCACACACACAACTCACCAGCCCGCCTTGGTTTTCCTCTCTGAACCCCGTCTGCCCTCATCACACACAGATCCTCCTCCCTTTACCCCCTAGATCTTATCTGCCCGTGCTCCAAGACCACATCTCAGCCCCTACCTCCCCCACTGTCCTTCTGTCTGCCACATCCTCCTGCCTCCAAGCCCTTCCAGGCACCGCACCGTTTTTTTCGAGGCTGGTTTGGATTTGGGGTGGGTTTTGGTTATATTCCCCTCCCCCACTCTCCCTCAATTTTTTTTTTTTACTGTTTGTTTTTTTCCAACAGAGTTTCGCTCTTGTTGCCCAGGCTGGAGTGCAGTGGCATGATCTTGGCTCACTGCAATCTCTGCCTCCCAGGTTCAAGCGATTCTCCTGCCTCAGCCTCCTGAGCAGCTGGGATTACAGGCATGTGCCACCACACCCGGCTAATTTTATATTTGTAGTAGAGACAGGGTTTCTCCATGTTGGTCAGGCTGGTCTCGAATTCCCGACCTCAGGTGATCTGCCCGCCTTGGCTTCCGAAAGTGCTGGGATTACAGGCATGAGCCACCGCGCCCGGCCTACTAGTGTTTTATCTTTGATTCTCTGTCAGCCCTCACCCCTGGTTCTTGCCTTTCTTGATCAACACCTTTTCTTGCCTCTGTCCCCTTCTCTCCCTGTATCTCTCACTCCCCTCCAACCTGGGGGACAGTGGTGTGGAGGAGGAACCATAGGCCTGAGAGTCCATCTGCACTCCTTCCTGGAGCCCAGAGGCAGGAGAAGGGGGTGGTGTCTCCAGCCCCCTGGCACTGAGGAAAAATGGGGCTCTTCTCACTCCACCCTTCCCTTCCTACCCTGCACCAGGACTGGGCCACTTCTGGGTGGGGCGGTGGGTCACAGATTGGCTCACACTGAGAATGTAAGAACTGCAAACAAAATTTCTATTAAGTTTTCTGTCTCAAAAAAAAAAAGCGGGAGGGTGAAGAAAAGAGCCCCATCTGCCTGGGCAGTAAATACGAGGCTGAAAGATAGGACTTCATCAGGAACCGGCTCATACAAAGTCTCTCACATACATGTTTTGTCTTTCCGCCTCAACACACACTGTCCCTGTCCGAGCTGTGAATGAAAGTGAGAATGGCTGCATAGTCCGTTTAGATCCCAGAGCCCACAGGCGGCCAGGAAGAGCTACGCGCAGGGTGCTTACTCAGCCCCAGGGGAAGGACCTGGAAGAGTGCTGTCCCGACTCCTGGTGACCATGTTCCTTCCCACCTCTGTCCTGTCTCTTCCCTGCATCGCAGGGAGAATCACAGTAACCCATTAGACCCAGGTTTCCCTTCTTTCATCCCCTAGGGCGGGGGACCCCAAACCCCAGGTACTGGTCCGTGGCCTGTCAGGAACAGGGCCGCATGCAGGAAGTGAGCAGCGATGGCGCTCTGATCCTGTCACATCAGTGGGACATTTGGTTCTCACAGAAGCAGAAGCCCTCCTGTGAACTGTGCACACCAGGAGTGTAGGTTTTGTGTGCTCCTTAGGAGAGTTTGACTAATGCCTGATGATGGGAGATGGAACACTTCCATCCCGAAACCAGCCCCGCCCTCCCTCTCCATGGAAAAATGGTCTTCCAGGAAAATACTCCCTGTTGCCAAAAAGGTTGGGGATCGCTGCACTAGGAGCAGTTTTGCTGTTTTGTAGCAGCTTTTCCTGACCAGGCCTGGCAAAGTCTCCAACCCCACCCACCAGTGAGGCCAGCTTCCCACACCCACTCCTGCATACATTTCTGCCCTCACCAGTGACAGATGTCTCTAACCATTAGTGCCGGCAACACATAACCCAGGTAGAACCGTGCTCTGTACTGGCCTGAAACCTGGCAGCTTGACACTTCTGTTGCCAGTCCCAGGCCACACACAGCCCTCCCTCATTCTGGCTTTAACAGTTTCTCCCCATTTTCTGCTAGGAAGACAGTAGGAAACTCCCTTGCCCCTACACACACACCTGTGTGGCTTTTCTTTTTTTGGAGACAGAGTCCCGCTCTGTCACCCAGGCTGGAGTGCAGTGGCATGATCTCGGCTCACTGCAACCTCCGCCTCCCGGGTTCAAGCGATTCTCCTGCCTCAGCCTCCCGAGTAGCTGGGACTACAGGCATGTGCCACCAGGCAGGACTAATTTTTGTATTTTTAGTAGAGACGGGATTTTGCCATGTTGGCCAGGATGGTCTTGAACTCCTGACCTCAGGTGATCCACCTGCCTCGGCCTCCCAAAGTGCTGGGATTACAGGCGTGAGCCATCGCGCCCAGCCTGTGTGTGGCTTTTCACCTGGCTCTGAGGCTCTAACAAGGGGCCCTAGGTGAGTCAGCTCTCACTTGAACCTTGCTGCTGGGGGCTGGAAGCAGCAGTCCTGAACTCAACCCACCTGTGGGTAGGATATAGTTCTGGGCCAGGGAGTGACATGGGTCAAAAGCTTCTTCTTCTCACCTAGTCCAGTTCTTCACAGGCCTACAGACCCCTGCAAGGTTTCCCCAGGGTCTAACTTTAACCCACATTGCTTCAATCTAAACCCATTTCCTTTCTGTGACTACCTGGATGCACGGTTTGGTACCTATTTTTCTTGTCTCTGTCCACTTTACTGTGGCTGTCTTCAAACCTTTGACCACCTCCAAGCCACTCCGTATTCTGGCTGGGGACCACTGCCTTCTTCCTGCAGCTTCCTGCTCTCAGCAAACAACCAAAGCTCCCAGTCTACACAGCCCCACTGGTCTCTCCAGGACCAGCTCTTGATTCTGCCTGTCTCTGAGTGACAGCCTCCTGACCATGTTTGTGTTTGTTCTTAGAGACGGAGGTCGCACTCTGTGGCCCAGGCTGTCCTCGAACTCCCTGGGCTCAAGCGCTCTTACTGCCTTGGCCTCCCGAGTAGCGTAGCTGGGACTCAGGTGCAAGCCACCGTGCCTCACTTTTATTTCCAAAAAGCATCCTGTTCCCTCCTGCTGGAGAAACTGGGCTGCCCCTGGGCTCTTGGCCTCCACTTTGCTCCGTGCCACCCAGACTTATCCTGCAGGTCTCAGCTCAAAGGTCCTTTCCTCAGGAACAGCTATCCTCCCTCCCCAGAACAGATCCCGCCGCCCGGTCCCTATTATGCCCATACGGCCGCCTTCTGTAGAATGACTTGTTCGTCATCTGCCACAAGACCCAGGCTTTTTTACTTGCTCGCCACCATTCGCCCAGAAGCAGAGACTTCGCTAAAAGCACCTCAATGAATAAATGAATAAATGGTTTGTAGACAGGCCTTTGAGGTTCCTGCTTCTGTGACCAGCACCAGAATGGGTGTCCCTTCTGCACAGCCTGAGTGAGGCCTACCCCGGCTCCTACTTCACCGGGCCCAGCTCCTCAAGAGCTTCCTTCTGCGGCTGCTGCTGAGTCTTCTTCCGATTCATTTCCAAACCCACACGTTACGCAAGGCGCCCTCTGCAAGTAGTATCTGCAAAGAGGAACTCGCCATGCCGTCCTTCCTATTTCTCAAAAATAATAGCTAAGCAAATGTCGGGAGTGCAGCGAAGTGTCTGCATGAACACCCTCAGCCAGCCCTGCGACTAAACTACAACCAAGCCCAGGTTCTGCAAAACGATTCCAGAAATAAGCCACCGGCCTGCCGCGGCCTCCGGAGCCCTCTCCCGCTCGGCGCCCCGAGGCCCCACCCCGAAGCACGCGCGCACCCACGCGGCCGCGGCTTCCCTGCGTCACCCTCGCCGGCTGCACCGCCCTCCGCGACTCGAGAGCACCGCCCCCGCCCGCTGCAGCCAATCCGCGAGCCCGGCCCCGCCCCTCCCGGCTGCCCGGAAGCGGCCTGGAGGCGCGCCAGCCCCGCCCCCTGGCCGGGAGGGCGGGCGGAAGGGCGCGTTGGCGGGAGGCTGGGAGAGAGCTGCCCCCCTGGAGCAGTCGCGAAGCAGCGCCTCAGCCCCTCCCTCAGCAAGTCAGGCTCCGGTTACCTCAGGGCTGTGACCCCGCGGTCGAGGCCGGGGGAGGGGCGGCGCCCAGCGGCTGGCTCCTCGCGCGCTGGACCCTCCTCGCCACCCCTCCCACGGGGCCCGTGACGCCGCGCCGCCCCCGGAGCTTCCTCAGAGGATGGACAGGGAGAGTCCCGGCTCGCCGCCCACCCCCCCCCCAACGCGGGCTGGGAGCCCCACGTCCCTCCATCCCCTACGGCTCCGCGTCTCCGCGGCTGCCGGCCCATCCCCCACAGCCTCCGGCCCGGCGCGCGGAAGCCCCGCCGGTTTCCAGGGAAACCGAAGCTCAGGCCGCCATGGCAACCGCCTGACGTGGCGGCGCCCCCGGCCCGAGCACTGCAGAGGGAGCGACGCCCAAAGGGAGGGGACGCGCAGCCGGGAGGGCCCCGAAAAAAGAGACACCCCCTCTTCCTAGCCCAGGAGGAAGGAAAGCGTGACGTGTTTCAGGCTCGGCGGCCCCGGGGCTGTTTGCCGCCCAGTCAAATCGGAGTTTTCCCCGCCCCAGGCGTAACCCCACACTCGGGCCGTGGCGCCTCCACGCGCGCTCCGAAAAGACCTTCCTCCTTTGGGGTAAACGGGGCTCGGCCCGCGCCGCAGCGTGGACGGGGACCACGCCCAACCCTCCCCGCAGATAGCTACAGACATTCGGGCGGAATCTGGGCTCCCGCCCAGGCTCTGCGGCCGGGGAGGAGGCGCCGGGCCGCCCCATGCCCTTCCCTCCCGCGGCTGCACCAACACGCGCGAACGGGAGCCGCCATCGGGACTCGCACCAGGCGTCACGGCGCGCGCCTCACGGCCCCGGGGACGCCGAGGCTGCAGGGGCTCGGGAGCGGCGCGGGAGGGGAGCCGCGCCCTCCTCTGCGCACGCGCGCCCTCCCGGGCAGGGAGCCCCGCTGACGTCAGCCGGGCCATGTGCTCAGCGCCCGCGTGGAGGTGGGAGGGAGGCGCGGGGGAGCCGCCGGGGCGTGAGGGCGGGGCGGGGCGCGGCCGGGGGAGGGGCGGCGGAGGGAGGGCGGGGGAAGCTGCGCGACGCCGGCCTCCGGGCCCCATACCTGGATGTACCGCAGCGCCGTCCGCAGCACGCTCAGATTGGACGTCTTCTTGTCATCCACGTTGGGGATGTTCCGCTTCAGGGTCTCAAAGCACTCTTTCAGATGGGCCCTCCTGAAGAGAGGGGCGAGCGCCGGTCAGCGGTGCCTGGGGCGGGGCTGGGACGGGGGGAGGCAGGACCGGGGAAGCTGGGGCCGAGGGCCGCCGGGGCCCGGGTCGCGCGCGCACGCACGCACGCACACACACACACACACACACACACACCTGTTCTTCTCCAATTTGTTGTGGACTTCTCTGGTTCCGATCCTGAAACCCAGACAGATAGGAGGCTCAGGGAGGAGGACTCGATTAGACGGCCTTCCTGACCAGCGCCGCCACCCGCAAAATTGCCACAGGCTGTTTGTCCCCAACACTGTCTTAAAGCAGACTGGGAGACGTTCGCCCTGTGCCATGCTGCGCCCACCCCCTGGAGGACACATCTGTGCTCATAATCACAACTCCTGTCACCCTCCGTCCCACCAGGAGGGAGACAGGAGGACTCCTGGGACTCAGAGGCAGCCGGTTGACCCCAGCCCTCACCCAAGAGGCCCATACTCTGTCCAGAGGCCTGGGAATGCCATAAGCCTCAGCCTTGGACTGCGTTAGGAAACACAGAAGCCTGGGAACGGGGGGCAATGGGACATTCCTTCCCAGGATAGACATGGGCACAGTGATGACGTGTTCAAATACAGGGGGCACTTCTAAGCTGGGGAGGGCACCTTGTCTTGCACACAGCCCGGGGGATGGGCACCTCTCCTATCCCCCACCAGCCCGACCCCGCCACACCCCACTCACCCCCCGGGCCTCTTCTTCTGTTCACTGGATTTGACTTCTTCAGCTGGTGCCAACTTCAGGGTCCCCAGCGTGGGTGGGGGCGGCTGCTGGGGGGCCAGCTGAGGCTGGACTCCAGGGTGTGGCGCTATGGTCAGGACAGGCGTGGGGAGGGGCTGCAAAGGCTTGGGGCTGCCATTGGGTGGAATGGTGGCCTTCGAGTCCGGCAGTAGGGGAGCAGGGGTGGGCACCTGCGGCCTGCTGGGCAGGGGGGCAGGCTCCTTAATGCTGAGTCCGGGGGCGCCAACCAGGGCCGGCTGACGAGGCGCCAGGGGCAGAGGCTGGGCTGCCGCGGGCAAGGGTGGGGGTGGGGGTAGAGGCTGAGGGGAGTTGGTCACCACAGGGATAGGGATGACAGTCAGTGGGGCAGGGGTGGCAAGTGGTGGTGGGGGTGCCGGCGGGGGAGCCGGTGGAGACAGAGGCAGGGGTGGCGCCTCCATGCGGGGTTCCTCCACAGGAAGGGTATGTGCCAGCCTGGCCAGGCTATTGGCCTTCTTCTGTTCCTGCTCTCGCTCCTGCTCCAAGCGAAGCCGCTCCTGCTCCTCTACACAGAGAGAACACAAGGGGGGGAGGGTCTCAGCGGGGCCCCAGAACTCCAGCCCTAACTCGTCCTCTGACCCTAGCCCAGTCAGTACTCAGTGACACCCCTGCTCAGCGAGAGACACCACAAATAGCCTACCAGCCCAGCCAGGCACGGGGGAAAGTGCCGGGGGCACAGCAGTGAACAAATCAAGCAGACCTGTTCCCCGCCACCAGGGAATAGTAGGACAGTCACGGGGGCTGACAGTCACGGGGGCTGACAGTCCGGGCTGCGGGCAGGACAGGCGGCCCTGGAAAGGTGGAGCAGAGCTGTCAGAGGGTGCTGCAGGCCACCTGCCAGCCTGCAGGGTGAGGAGGAAGGCGGGTGAGGGCAGCGAGGGTCAGGGGACCACAGGGCCGAGGTGGGAGAGGCGGGCAGAGGCCCAGCCACCCAAGACTTCACACCAGAGGGGGGGGTGTGCTGACAGATCCCAGCTTCCGTGGAAGGCCTTTAACAATGTTTACCAAGCACTTTCTAGAGGGCAGGCAGTGCCTGCATGGCACAGATGAAGTCAGTGAAGCTCAGGGAGCAAAGTGATTCGCTGCAGGTCCCACAGCAAGCCTCCTGACCCCTGGAGGACGCTTGCCGTGCTCACAAGGAAGTGCTGACAGTCCCTGGATCCTCACAAGAGCCCCACGTCACATCATGGGCAGGACAGGGACATCACCCTCATTTCACACATGTGGAAACAGCCCAGCACTCTTGACTCCGAGGCTAGGTCCCAATGCCTGTTTTCCTCAGGGACCATTCAACAAACACACTTCGTCCCTCTCTGACCCTTCTCGTGTTATAACTCATTTTCCCCAAATCCCCAACATCCCCACCACCAGCAGCAGCGCCAGCATGTCCTGTCCTTCAGGCCTAAAGCATCCTCTGACATCCTCAGTGACACCCCGCTCAGCCTGAGACAATACAAATACCCAACCACTCCAGCCAGGCACCGGGGAAAGTGCACCTGCCTGGTTCTGGGTGAGAGAGGGCAGTTGAGGAGGAGGAGGTACAGCAGCGACCATTTCTCCCAAACAAGAAGGGGCTGGGCTCTTCAATGGGGGCTGAGCAGGGCAGTGCACCCCACCACCCGCTCAGCATCCCTGCTGAAAGCCCAGCAGGAAGGCAAGGCCCACTCAGGAGCTGGCTGCCAACAGGGGAAGGGGAGGCACCTCCATCTCCCGCTTGCCTCGTCCTCTCCCAGGCGCCACCATTCTGGTTCCCTGGCTACGGGGCTGGCCCAGGCCCTTGGAGTCTGCAGACTCCAGGCCAGGGAGCCGCCGGGACAAGCAGCCCTCTCCTCTGACCCCGGACGCCCGCCCCGCTCCGCTGACGAACGCAGCAGACAGCCCGGGCTCGTGGACACGCCCCAAACACCCGGGCAAGGGGTGGCGTGGGGGACTGGAGTCGGCTAAGGCCCCCTGGGGAGGAGAGCACCCACCTCCCACACTCTTACTGGCTCAGGCGCCCCAGAAAACCTGAGGCCTCAGGCCCTTTGGCCAATCAACAACTGGAGTGTGAGCCAGGCCTGCTCCCAGCCCCGCCCTCCTGCAGAGGGAAGAGGCCGAGGAGGAAGCGGAGGGGGAAGCGTCCTGGGAGGGGAAGCCTCAGTGGTTTCCCAGCAGCCGGAGTTCAGGGGCTGGGCCAGCCAGCGGGCCTCTTCCAGATCTCCCTAGCCCTTCGGGAAGGGGCGATGCCAGGCCGGTGCAGGCCTGCTCCAGTGCGGGGAGGCCTTAGGTTACGCCCGGGAGAAAACCAGCCCTGCGCTCCCGCTTCCCACAGACCGCAGTGGCCAAGCAGCCTGCTGAGTTCCAGTGACAGGGCCCTTCTCAGTCGGGCACAGCCTCAGTTGTCCCCAGCCCCTTCCCCTACCCCAAGACAAGGCTCTGGATCCCAGGGCCTAACACAGACCCTGCCTCCATTCCTTTGGCTGACACAGACCTAACTTTTCATTGGCCTTGAGACATGGACTCCACTCTTTATAGGCAGAGGAACAATCAGGGCCCTCCCTGAGTCACAAGGACATGTGGGACCCTAGAGTGCAAGCCAACCCCCATTCCCCATATTTTAAAGCAATCCCAAAGCTCACCTGGGAGGTAGCAACCTCCTTCTCACCTGCCCTCTCTCACCCAGAACCACGCCGGTACACCTCACAGGTGCCAGGAAGGACCCAGTTACACCTGGAGCAGCATGAAAAAGCTCCACAGGTGGTGAGGAAGAGGAGCTGCCCCTGGCCAGATCCAGCCCACCGGAGCTTCCTGTCCCTTCCCACCCAGCGGCAACCCTCTCCCTGTGCACTGGAGAACCACCAAACTGGTGGTGGCTGGTGCTCCCTCAGGAGCACCCTGCGCTTAGGCTCTTTAAAAGAATGTTCTGCACATCCACCAGACAGGGTGCGCCCCCTCACATGCTTCCCTGGGCTCCACCCAGAGGCTGCCCCCAAAGAATTTAGCATGCCCCTCTGCAGTGACCCAGGGGCCAAGGCTTCCGCCCACAGTCAAGAGCAGAGCCAGCGTGCTCCCTTCAACCTTCCCAAGTGACTGTGGCCCAGGTGCTCTGCAGGCACAGGGCTAGGGGTGGAGGAGTCCACACTGGTGGGCCCCAGCAGCCACAGGAATTCTCCCATCTGCACGCTAAACAGGAGGCTTGGTGCCTAAGGCAGGCCCAGGGTAAGCCTTGGAGAGTTGGTCAGGAGCCTCTGGACACTCCAACCAACTCCCTCGAAACAAGGCAGAAGAGTTGCATCTGAGCCACCTCTATGAACACTAGAAATGACCAGGCCAGGCCTTCCGTCTGGGCACCAGGATAGCTCTGCCCTTTCCCCTCTCTCTCACAGGCACACACATCTGCGGGGTCCTCATGTGAGCAAACTGGCTGGTCTAGGTCAGAAACCCATGCTTGCGGTTGAAAGGGAGAAAGGACAAGAGGATCCCTGTCCAGAGCTGGTCCTAGGTCCCGGGAAAGCGTTCTGGTCAGCAGGTTCACCTGCCATGCCCTTCCTTCCATTCGTCCTGCCCCAGCTCAGAGGACAGAACCTCAAGAGGGAGAAGAAAATGAATTCTGGAGGAGAAACTGCTGGGATCGGTTCCGGACACCCGTACATGAGTTTTTGAGTAGATCTAGCTTTCCGCACCCACTCATCTACAAAGACCTCTGACCGGCACACAGAAGTCGTGACCAGGCCGCTGAACTCGGCCTAAACACAGTGCGTACTCGAACTGCAACGTGTTGATGGCGGCAGCAGGTGACTTAATCTCTCCGAACCTTGTGCACGGTCTTCCCCTGACCCCTGTGCCCAAACGTAGGACATTCTTGGTCACCAGGGGCACTCTCCACTGCCAGACCCTGCTCTGGACCATCAAGGCAACAGCCGGGGAGTGTGGGCGATGTCCCCGCCCATCACTTCTGCAAAACCCAGGCATCTGAGCCTCACATATCTCCAGTGACTCTTGACCTTGAGAGGCCGGTCGCCCCGACTAGGCCGCCGGCCCCGCAGCTCCCCCGCCCCTTGCCCGCTGCCGCTCCCCCCTTCCCCCACCCCCGCCCGCCGCGGCGGCGGCACACGGCGGCGCGCGCGCACACAACACACTACTACCTCCTGCATGACTCATCATTGAAGCAACAATAGGCAGAGAGAAAGGAAAGGAGGGCGAAGCACTCTCCAACACAACCAACCCTGCCGGGGGATTCTGGGGGGCGGGGAGGGCACAGGAGTCCCCGGGTCCTGCACACACACCGTTCCAGAGCCGAGGCCCTGGCAGCACCCTGGAAAAGGGAGGTCTTTCCCGCCAGCCCCTCTGCAGCACCCTGAAGCCAGGGACCACCAACAGGGCGCGTGAAGATAGGAGTCATTAGTCTCTTCCCTTTCGAGGGAGCGCCGAAGTTTGCCCTTTCTCATCCTGGCTCATTCCAGCGTGGCCCCGGCTGATGCCAGGGGGCATAGTTGGAACGTTTTGGGGGTCAGTGGAAAAATGTGAGCTCTAAATGTCTCGTCGCCCTGCGATTCTGAGGGTTTCCCTTGCCTCGGGATCAAACACAGGAGGTTAGGGGCCAGAGCCGACAGGTGAGCTCGGCTCCTCCCTCGCAGGGCAAAGGCTCTCCCTGGGAGGTGCCCAGAGGCCGGGGCCCGGGCCCAGGCCCAACCCAGCGCAAGGCCCCTTGCCAGCCCCGCCCAGGCCCCGCCCCCGGCCGAGCGCGAGGCGGTGAGGAGGGGCCGGGCCGCGCCGTCCCCAGCAGGAGTGTCCCCGGTGCACGTGGTCGGGGGCGGAGCCCGTCCACGTCACCACCCGGTGTAACCAACGGGCTCGGAACGCAGGCACACGCAACATTCCAGGCGAGAGCGGGTTTGGAACGCGCAGACACGCCACATTCCACACTGGCTAAAGCGGGGCGCAGCGAGGGGGGCCCGGGGGCTGACCCCCAGCGACCCGCGGGCCATTTCGCAAACGCCCAATTAGCCCGGCTTTCACCCAAACCCCGGACGCGCAGCCCAGCCCAGCTCTGGGAGGCGGGGTCAGGCGGGGCTGGCCAGGATCATAAGACACGCGATGTCATTTCATTCTGCAAAGGCCGCCTCCGCCCCAAGCGGCGCGTAGATCTGCCGGGAGCGCCCCCCGCACCCTCCCCACGGGGCCAGGGAAGCCGAAGAGCTGCTCCGCGTAGAGTAGTCCCCACCCCCACTCCGTTACACACACGCCCACTCGTGTGCTATACACACGCCCGTGTACACGTCCGTTCATCTGCTCTTCCCGAGGCTCACATCACACATCCCCCGTGCACACACGCACGCACACGCGAGCCTGCCACCCCCACGCAACACCATTCCTCACCCCACCCCCCGGCTCACACATCCTCAGTGCCACCGAGGGCTCCGCTGGCCCACGCAAAAGCAGCCCACCACAGAAGGGGCACAGGGGTGCCACGCAGCCGGGGTGGCGCCCGCAGGAGCCAGGTCCCTCGCAGCATGTTAATGAATTCATTAATTAATTTCACTGCCCACATCACCCCTCCCCAGGCGGCGGCTCTCGCGGGGAGCCGTGCGCTGCCAGGCTCCGCAGGCCGCCCGGGAGGGGGCCCTGTCCGCGGTTTCGCGTGGGTTCGGGGACCGGGGTCACTCGCTTCCCCTTCCCCAGTGCCCCAGGGGCCCAGCCCGGCCGCTCACCACGTGCTCTCTGTTGTTGCTGCGCTTGCCATTCCAGGAAGCGGGCCGCCTCCAGTAGCGTCTCTATGCTCATCGCGCCGAGAGCTGCCGGGGGCGCGCCGGGGCCGAGGCTGCGGCCCGCGAGCCGGGCACAGGTCAGGCTGGCGGGCAGGCAGGAGGGAGGGATCACCTCCGGGGGGCGACAGGGCTGGGCGGCGCAGCGCACTCCGCAGGGAAGAACGGGGGAGCACGGGGAGAAAAATCAATGTCTCTCAAAATATTTGCAAAATATAAAATTGCAAATTTAAAAAAATGGGATGCAAAAAAAAAAAAAAGGCGGCACTGCCTCCCTTCTTCCCCTCCCTCTCTACCTCCCTTCCGATGCCTCCCGCCCCGCGGCCCCCGGGAGTCCCGCCGACAAGAAAGGGCTTTGCAACAAGATGGCGAGGAGGCACCGACACACACAACAAGGGAAGGAGCCGCGCTGCCCCCGGCCGCCGCCCCCGCTACTACACCGGGGCCACAGCCAAAGCCCGGACCGGAGCCCCCGCCCGCAGGGCCGCGGCGTCTCGCGAAGGGAGGGGCGGGTCCTGCGCTGCTGGCCCCGCCCCCCGGATCCGGCGCGCGCACACGTGGCCCGGGCAGGGAGGGAGAGGTCCGAGCGGGGTGTGCGCGCCGCGGTTCCGCTTTCCTGCTGGCCCCGCCCCGGCTGCAAGCCACAAGTTGGGCCGGGGCGGTGCGTTTGGGTCGTTCACGACGAAATCTGTCCTGCTGGAGGGAGGGTAGGGTGAACAATTCAAGATTTAACAGAGTTCCAACCAGGATATTCCGGGTCAGGGAAACCTTGGGAATGGCAGAGACTGGCCTGACCCTGGGTCTCCACGCTCCACCCACTCGCGACCTAAATCCCGCAATCGCCGGGCTGTCGCAATTCCCCCGGGATCCGCCCCTGGGCGGAGCTGCCGGCGACTGGAGACTGTCAAGAGAACCAGCGGAGGGAGCGGAGCGGCAGTCCGGCTCCGCGTTTTGTCTCCGTTCCTCCCCCCGCAGTGCGTTCGCATCCTATTAGGGGACGTCACCGGGCCGCGAGCCAATGGGCGGGCAGGACAACACGGCATGGAGCAGCTCCACATGGACACCCCGCGCCGCCAGCCTTCGGTTTAAAGGGCCAGTGTCTGCAGGTCACATTCGCGGGTGCGGATGGGGCCACTGGGCGAACCCAGGGTGGGATGCCGTAAGGGGAATCCCGCAGTCGTGCCCTGGCCTCTCCATTCCTTTTCACCACCTTCCATTTAAAACCAGGCCTTTATCTTTCCTTCCCCTGAACTCCAGTCTTTGTCCACGCGTATTCGATGTGGGTGGAGATACGGACTGTGCCACCCCATGGGCCACCCTTTCCTCTGGGGCCGGGGCCAGGGCGGGGAACACGAAGCGCCCGCAGCCCAGACCGGGGGGCGTGGCCCAAATCGGGAACAACAACGTGGAGGGCGGAAGCCCGGCCCTCCCCGCGCCTGGCGACCGGCGGTGGGCGGGGCGCGGGGGCGGGGTCCGCTGCGGCCGGCTGGAACCGCGCTCCCCAGAGGGAGGGACCCCCCGTCGCCCGCCCGCCCGCCCGCGTCTTCCGGGCTCGAGTGTTTAGGGGAGCTCGGGTGCAATCGGAGAGTTAGCTCTTTGAGGCCGGCTGCCCTTAAATCCTCTCACTTCACACATAAGGAAACTGAGGCCGTGACGGCCAAGGACTCGCCTAAGGTCGTTCCGTATTCCACCTGCTCCTCTCTCCCGAAGCGGGGGCACTCTTCCCTGACCCCAGGGACGACTCTGAAGCCAGTTCTGGAGGAGGGCCCCCAATTAGAAAAATGCCAGGGAGGAATAGCAACCCTGACCACTTAACACACTGTGATTGGGGCAACAAAAATCTTCACCTGAGACCCAACTCCGCTGTTCTGCTTCCTCGGTGGAAGCCACACGAACCCCACTGGTACAGCGGCAGCGATAGACCCCAGGCGGCTGAAAGCTTATTTGGAGCGTCCCGGAGCATGTCGATTGTGCTGTGCCAGTGCAGGGGGAGTACCCCTCAGTTCTGGCCCCAGGCTCCATTCTTTGCTAACCGGTCCAAGAAGTGGGGGGGCAGTCAGTGCCAGTGGGTTTAGAACTCCTCAGCCGCGGCTTCAACATCACACACAACCAGAAAGCAAACCTTCATGAGGCTGAGAGGCAGGCCGCCCTGCCAATACATTCCATCACATGGCACCCTCGGAGCGTTCCTATTTTAGGGACTGGTTGGAAGACAGCTAGAAACATAGAAAGCAGGCAAAATGTTTGCTGGCTTTACTCCTTTCCTTTGAGGGCATCGTCATGCATCCTAGGGGGGAAAAATCTGCACAGATCCTGGAAATCAAGAACTTCGTGAACCAGAGGAAGGGGGCTGTTTGCCAGTACTAGTCTACAGAGGCCTCTGATCTTTTCACATTTAATGCCCCAGCATCTAGAGCTGAGCATGCAGAAGTCGCCACACACACAAATGTCCAGGTAGGTACCACTGATTTTGCTTATGATGAAGCTGGAGCAAAGGCGGATTAGAACGGAACAGCCCAGTTCTTCTCCATGGGATGAGTGCCCCTTTGCTGGGAGGGCCAGATCTGTGCTGGCTCCAACATTGCTTCCTTTAAGGTGTCTGCCACTTGCCACCAGTATGGTTGGGCCTGGCCCATTCTGCACAACTAGAGAAAATGGAAAATTCAAAGGCAATATAATATATAGGCGGCAGTGGAACAGGGACTCTCAACAGTATACAGACAGTCCCTGACTTGTGATGGTTTGACACAGGACTTTCCAAGTTTGCAATGGTTGTAAAAGTGATAATCTAGCATGCGCTCAATTTAGGATGGGATTATGGCTGGTGAAACCCGTCCTAAGTGGAGCTGCATCTATACATGATTGTGACCTGAGTTAATGCTTTTGGGCAAGTTCTTATTTTGTGTGGGGTCAGCACCGTGGTGCACAGTGCTCCATCCAGCTGTCCCTTCCTGCTCTCCTCAGGTGGCCATGCACTCATACAGCCCTGGAGTTTCTGCTGAAGGCTGAGGTTTAATTTTTTACACTCTTCTTTGTCACTGGCCAACTCTATACCAGTAAGTAGGCACCTCTCTGAAAGGCAGTGTTCTTAAGACACTGTTCGCTTCAGGGGTGAGGAAGCAGAAGGTAAGAGTAGAGTGAACACAGATTTGAATGCCAGCCTCTCCATTGCCCCCAATACTCCATCTGCTCCAGAGCTTAGTGGAGATGTTTGCTATTTAAAACAAACAGCCTTACTGGCTTCACATGATCATCTGTTTATTTGGGTCATGTGGGGACAGCAGCCAGGGGATGTTAGACAAAAACAAGGGTTTAGAAGGGAGGCTGCAGGCCAGGAGCGGTGGCTCACGCCTGTAATCCCAGCACTTTGGGAGGCCGAGGTGCATGGATCACTTGAGGTCCGGAGTTCGAGACAATCCTGGCCAACGTGGTGTGGTGAAACCCTGTCTCTACTAAAAAAAAAAAAAAAAAAAGGAAGAAAAAAGAAAATTAGCTGGGCGTGGTGGCAGGCGCCTGTAATCCCAGCTACTGGGGGTGGTTAAGGCAGGAGAGTCACTTGAACCCGGGAGGTGGAGGTTGCAGTGAGCTGAGATGACACCACTGCACTCCAGCCTGGGCCACAGAGAGAGACTCCGTCTCCAAAAAAAAAAAAAAAAAAAAAAAAAAAGGGTGGGGGAGGCTGTTTCTGGACCTATTGTTGCCTACAGGAGCCTGAAAATGGCCAAAAACAATACCTCATCAACCAAGCTTTCCCCAGTTGAGGAATGGACAGTGGGGGTGGGAGATACCTATAAATGGCGATGTGAGGGCATGAAAGAAGAGGGGAATGAATAGGAGGGCTGTTTAATATTTTAGCCCCAGCTTCCTGTTCCAAGGGGGTGGAGCCAGGATAGAAGCTGGCAAATGTACTCACTCAAGAGAAAGAGAAATAAGTCCTTTTGGTTTCAGCAGAAAGGTTAGCAGGTTTGGGGAATTATCCAAAGGCCAGCAATCTCTAAAAAGGTGTTCCTTAAGTTTCTTTTTCTTTTTTTCTTTTTTGAGATAGAGTCTCCCTCTGTTGCCCAGGCTGGAGTGCAGTGGTGTGATCTTGGCTCACTGCAACTTCTGCCTCCCAGGTTCAAGTGATTCTCCTGCCTCAGCCTCCGGAGTAGCTGGGATTACAAGCACGCACCACCACGCCCGGCTAATTTTTGTATTTTTAGTAGAGACGGGGTTTCACCATGTTGGCCAGGCTGGTCTCAAACTCCTGACCTCAAGTGATCTGCCTGTCTTGGCCTCCCAAAGGGCTGGGATGACAGGCGTGAGCCACCGCGCCCGGCTGTTCCTTAAGTTTCTTCATGGCTTCTGGGTGCTTAGTACCTTGGAGCAGGAGAAAAGCTGGGCTGTCCATCATTGTGAGTTTCTCACGAGAGGGTTTCCGTTTTCAGTCTTCCTCCCCGAGTCTTGTGCACCCCACCTCCCAGTTCAAATTCCATTATGTCCTCCAATTTTTTAATCTTTTATTCTTTTTTTCACCAACCACAATAAGAAGCACCAATTCCCCAATTTTTTAATATGCTGAGCCAGAGACATCCCCTTAGTGGAACTGTCTTCCTATCCCCCACCACTCACCTAACAAAGTATCAACTCCAAGAGCTATGAAAATCAGTGCCCTGACTCCTACAAAGCCTGAGTCATGAGATGGGGGAAAGGGCGTGAAGCCGAAAGTACAGATGTTCACAGGAAATCCCAACCCTTCAAGCCTGATGTCTCATCTTTTGCAAGCAGCTAAGGAGCTTTTCACATACCATCATTAAAACAAGACCCATGGGAGGAAGCTGGCTGCAGGATGAAGAGGAAAAAACAGAAGACTAGTACACTCAAGACATACCAGAGAAGATCCATTTCATAAATATTTATTGTGTGCCTGAGGTGCCAAGCACTAGGCTAGGTATGCTGTGGCCAAGGCCAGGGGACCTCTGGTAAGCCAGAGCGGGGCAAAAGCAAACAGAGCGGAACTCCACTCCACTGTGATAACTTGCAAAAGATTAGTTCTGCTGTTCGCCACCGTGCTGGATGCAGCACCAGAGACAGGACGACACGAGGACCCAGAGGGCGCCGCCATGCTCATTTCAGAAGGTGCAGCCTCCGTGTCCGTGGGTCCGCACCCATGGAGGCAACTAACCGTGGATCAAAAATATTCAGGAAAAAAAAATGGAAAATATACAAGAAAAAATAATACAAATTTAAAAACCAACACAGCACAAGAACTATTTACACAGCATTTACATGGTATGAGGTATTTGAGTAGCGCAGAGATGAGTTAAAGGATACCTGAGGATGTGCATAGGTTACATGTAAGGGATTTGAGCATCATCCATGGACAGGTATTCAGGGAGGCTCCAGGAACCAATCCCCATTGGACAGTGAGAAGCAACTGTAATTCCGTTTTTCTATGTAGAGATAAAAACAAATTCAGTGGATTTAAGGCTGGGCCAGTCAACTGAGCCTGATTCCCCCAGTCTGAATGATGAGTGGGACTCTGAATTCCTTTGACAGAGGTGGACCCATTCAATCATCAGTGAAATGGGGTCCCCACAGCCAAAAGTTTCCACAGGACTCTTTACCTCCTTTCCCCACCCCAAGTGAGTTGTCAGAGGACCTCTCCTGAACTCACAGAACAGGTCCAATCAAGTTCCACCTCCCCATTCATGTCCTTTCCAGAAGCTGGGCGCGGTGGCTCACGCCCTAAGTTCCAGCTACGTGGGAGGCTGAGACAGGAGAATCGCCTGAGCCCAGGATTTCAAGGCCAGCCTGGGCAACATAGCAAGATACTGTCTCAAAAAAAAAAAAAAAAAAATTGCAGCCTCACATGATGTCATAGCTGGAAGAGCTGGGATCATGGGGTCTGACCTCCCAAGAGAAGGTGTATCCAAGGTCACAAAGCTGCCAAGCATCAGCTAGGTTGAGAAGTGGCCTGGTCCTCCTCTTTGGCTGGCTGGGCCAGGCCTGGGGAAGTGCTATCAGTGTGGGGTGTTGAGTCCCTGAAAGCCTCCCAGAAGTGGGTGAAGATGGAGAGGGAACTCCACCCCTCCTCGTTAAAGACAGGAATAATCATTCACTTTGCTTAGTGGTCCCCAATAAACAAGCTTAGCAGATAAGCGGGAAGACAGGGAAAGGGAATCAGACTTGGGATCCAGGAGCTCGCAGGACCCTGTTCTGCCCCAGGCCACTCAGGAATGGAGAGCTGCTAGCTGGACCTGGGTAGGTCACCATTACTCACTGGGGCTTTTGTCTGGCATGAAAGGTGACGGGAGAAAGGGGCAGATTTTTATCCAGGCAGCCACCGTGGGTGTGGACACTGAGTAATAAGGAAAGAAATGCAGTTCAGAAGCAAAGAGGGAGGAGCCAGGTCCTCTGAGCTCTTCTGAGAAACCAGAGCCCAGTCGAGCTCTGCAGCTAGAGTGGCAGCTGCGGATGACAGTGGGTCAGAAGCTTGGTGGGAGGAGGCTGACCCAGCGGAAAGGCACAGGAGACGGATGACGATGTCAGGGATTCCTTTAAAGGAAAAAAGAGGTGGCTTTATGACAGCAAAACTAATTCAGGTCAAGGGAGTGGGACTGGGCAGAAGTTATGAGTAAAGCCGGGTGGAGTCTTGCCATGGGAGTCAAGAGTCCGCTGGATCACGCAGGGGTGGGGACATGGTGATAGGGAAGAAACCTCCCAGGACCGACGGGCTGCAATGTGATCAGTGCCCCACACAAAGGACTAAGGTCTATATCCCAGCAGCCCCAGTTCACACCCAAATGCAAGGCTGTAGCATCAAGTCTTGAAAGCCCAAGAGATCAGCAGCCTATGCCAGGAATGAGGCTCTCTCTGGAGGCAAGGCCGAGAGCAGTGGCCGGTCACTGGCTGCACAGCCCAGAGCAGATACCACAGAGCCAGGGCTCAGCTCCAGGTGCACTATGAGATCTCTCCCCAAGGCCCCAGGGCCCACTGGGAAAGGACACACCACTGCTGCCCAGCCTGCTCCACTCCCTGTGCCATCAGGGACACCTCAGTGGGGAGTGCTAGAGCTTCCCAGCGCCCTCTCTGATGAGTTAGTCTGAAATAATGCTGAACCACTGGTAAAAGACAGGTCCTTAAACTTCACACCATACAGCAATGTAAATTCAAATGCTAAATGTAAAAAATAAAACTAAAATAGCCATAATAAAATATAGGAAAACATTTTTCAGCTCTAGGGTGGTGAAGGAGTTTCTACCCATAAAGGCAAACAAAGAAAATATAAAAGCACAGTGTGATAGATTTGATTACCTCTAAAAGCTATAAAAATAAAACAAAATCATCACTAAAGAAAAGAAAAAGGGGCCGGGCACAGTGGCTCATGCCTGTAATCCTAGCACTCTGGGAGGCCGAGGCGGGCGGATCACGTGAGGTTGGGAGTTCGAGACCAGCCTGGGCAACATGGTGAAACCCCTGTGTCTACTAAAAATACAAAAAAGTACCCGGGTGTGGTGGTACATGCGTGTAATCCCAGCTACTCTGGAGGCAGAGGCACGAGAATTGCTTGAACCCGGGAGGCGGAGGTTGCAGTGAGCCGAGATTGCACCACCGCACTCCAGCCTGGGGCGGGGCTGGGGGGTATGGGGAGAAAGAGCAAGACTCTGCCTCAAAAAAAAAAAAAAAAAAAAAAAAAAAAAAAAAAAAGGCCGGGCACAGTGGCTCACGCTTGTAATCCCAGCACTTTGGGAGGCCGAGGTGGGCGGATCACGAGGTCAGGAGATCGAGACCATCCTGGCTAACACGGTGAAACCCCGTCGCTACTAAAAATACAAAAATTAGCCGGGCGTGGTGGCATGCACCTGTACTCCCAGCTACTCAGGAGGCTGAGGCAGGAGAATCACTTGAACCCAGGAGGCGGAGGTTGCAGTGAGCCGAGATCACACCACTGCACTCCATCCTGGGCGACAGAGCGAGACTCCATCTCAGGGAAAAAAAAATCACAATGGGGCCAAGCGCAGTGGCTCACACCTGTAATCCCAGCACTTTGGGAGGCCGAGGCGGGCGGATCACGAGGTCAGGAGATCGAGACCATCCTGGCTAACACGGTGAAACCCCGTCTCTACTAAACAAAATACAAAAAATTAGTCGGGCGTGGTGGCGGGCGCCTGTAGTCCCAGCTACTCGGGAGGCTGAGGCAGGAGAATGGCGTGAACCCGGGAGGCGGAGCTTGCAGTGAGCCGAGATCGCGCCACTGCACTCCAGCCCGGGCGACAGAGCGAGACTCTGTCTCAAAAAAAAAAAAAAAAAAAAAAAAAAAAAAAAAAAAAAAAAAGAAAAGAAAAAGGAAAGTGAAAACCAGAAAATCCAAATTTCCGACTAGTAACGGCTAGCTGAAGCAATGCTCACAATACTGACAGCATGTGAGGAAAACAGGGTTGCTACTATTAGCAGGGCTTGTCGCTGGGCAGTGTGGTTACCACTAATTTTTATTTGTACAAGTTTTCTGAAACATGTTAACTTTATAATAAGAAAAAAGTTATATTACTAAATGAAAAAGATTATAAAACACTAAGATACCATATGATCCATAATTTCTATGTAAAAAATATGCATATAAAATAGACAACAAAATGTAAAATAATTTGATTTGAATAGTAGAATTCTAGTGTTATTCAATATTTTCTAAAATTTTTCTCAGACAGGGTCTCACTCTGTCGCCCAGGCTGGAGTGCAGTGGTGTGCTCACAGCTCACTGCAGCCTTGACCTCCCTGGCTCAAGTGATCCTCCTACCTCAGCCTCCTGAGTATCTGGGACTACAGGCGTGCACCACCACACCCGACTAATTTTTTTATTTTTTGTAGAGATGGTATTTCGCCATGTTACCCAGGCTGGTCTTGAACTCCTGAGGTCAAGCGATCCATCCACCTCAGCCTCCCAAAGTGCTAAGATTAAAGGTGTGAGCCACAGTGCCCAGCATTTCTAAATTTTTTATAATGAAAATGTACTGCTTTTTTTTTTTTTGAGACGGAGTTTCACTCTTGTTGCCCAGGCTGGAGTGCAATGGCGTGATCTCGGCTCACCGTAGCCTCTGCCTCTTGGTTCAGGCGAGTCTCCTGCCTCAGCCTCCCAAGTTGGCTGAGATTACAGGCATGACGCACCATGCCCGGCTAATATTGTATTTTTAGTAGAGATGGGGTTTCTCCATGTTGGTCAGGCTGGTCTCAAACTCCCAACCTCAGGCGATCCGCCCGCCTCAGCCTCCCAAAGTGCTGGGATTACAGGCATGAGCCACTGCATCCGGCCTGTCCTGCTTTTTAAAAATAAAATTGCCGGGCACGGTAGCTCACGCCTGTAATCCCAGCACTTTGGGAGGCCGAGGAGGGTGGATCATGAGGTCAGGAGATCGAGACCATCCTGGCTAACACGGTGAAACCCTGTCTCTACTAAAAATACAAAAAATTAGTCGGGTGTGGTGGCGGGCGCCTGTAGTCCCAGCTACTCGGGAGGCTGAGGCAGGAGAATGGCGTGAACCTGGGAGGCGGGGCTTGCAGTGAGCCAAGATCGCGCCACTGCACTCCAGCCTGTGCGACAGAGCAAGACTCGTCTCAAAAATAAATAAATAAAATAAAATAAAATAAAATAAAATTGTCGGACTAAGAATTAAAAAAACCTGGCTGGGCACAGTGGCTCACGCCTGTAATCCCAACACTTTGGGAGGCCGAGGTGGGCGGATCACGAGGTCAGGAGATCGAGACCATCCTGCCCAACATGGTAAAACCCCGACTCTACCAAAAATTCAAAAATTAGCTGGGTGTGGTGGCGTGCGCCTGTAGTCCTAGCTACTTGGGAGGCTGAGGCAGGAGAATCGCTTGAACCTGGAAGACAGAGGTTGCGGTGAGCCGAAATAGTGCCATTGCACTCCAGCCTGGCGACAGAGCGAGACCCCGTCTCAAAACAACACAACAACAACAACAAAACCTGGAAATTATCAAAGGGGGAAAATGCTGGCCTGTCCTGTATCAGAAAGGGCCTCCCATTTTTTGGGATCTCGCATCTCTTGATCTCAACCAACTCCCCTGCCTGTGGGATCTATTTCCCATTCTACTCTTTCTTTTGAAAGCTTCCAGTTCACTCCCCAAACAAAGCAGATTTCATCTTGTTCTCTGCCCAAAATACCTAAATCTACTCTTTCTACTTCTTTACTCTGAAGCTCCCCGGAACTCGCTGAGGCCATTACAGAGCTCTATCGGGCTGGACTGGGGAGAGGTTTCTAAGGTGGAATTGGTGGGATTTAGTGGAAGACTTTACACCTGGTGGGAAAGGAGGGGGAAGAACAGAGATTTGTCCTCTGGAGAGCTGGGTGGATGGTGAGCAAGGCAACAGGAGAAGCAGGTGCAGACAATCAGAGGAGTTTCACACGGCCATGGGCCGGCGGGTGAGGAATGAGGATGCTGGAAGTTCAGGATGGGTCTGGATCTGGGCACAATGAATGTATGAGGAGTGGTTGAAGAAACTGGCGTGGATGAGGTCAGCCAGCAGTGGGAGAAAGAGCAAGCAGGCCCATGGGTAGACTCCTTCGGACTCCTCCCTTAAGAGGTGGGAAGGACCCTAAAACAGGGAAACAGGCAGCAAGCCGACCAGTAGCTCCAGTGAGAGGGTCGTGGAGGCAGGAAGACACAGGCAGTTCTACTCCTGGTGGCAGAAGTGGTCACTGACAAACGGTTTACCGCAAATTGTTTTTTTCTTTTTTTTATTTGAGACAAGGTCTTACTTTGTTACCCGGGTTGGAATGTAGCAGTACGATCTCGGCTCACTCTAGCCTTGACCTCTCTGGGCTCAAGCAATCCTCCCGCCTCAGCTCCCCCAAGTAGCTGGAACTACAAGTGCGCACCATCACACCCAGCTAATGTTTTGTATTTTTCATAGAGATGGGGTTTTGCCATGTTGCCCAGGCTGGTCTCGAACTCCTGGCCTCAAGCAGTCCACCAACCTCAGCCTCCCAAAGGTGCTAGGATTATAGGCTTGCGCCACCATGCCCAGCTGGTTTACATTTTTAATAAAATAATTAATTGTCAGGGTTCACAATTAAGCAAATTTCTCATAAATCTGGATTTCTGGCTTCCCTCAAAACATCAGAAGATCCAGCAACACTGGGCACCTATTTCAGCACAGCAATAACCAGGGGGAGCTGAACACAAGCCACTCCACTATATTTTTATTTTTAGATTTATTATTATTATTTTGAGACAGAGTCTCGCTGTGTCACCTAGGCTGGAGTGCAGTGGTGCTATCTTGGCTCACTGCAACCTCCGCCTCCCGGGTTCAAGCGATTCTCCTGCCTCGGCCTTCCAAGTAGCTGGGATTACAGGCATGCGCCACCACACCCAGCTAATTTTTGTATTTTTAGTAGAGACGGGGTTTTGCCATGTTGGCCAGGCTGGTCTCGAACTCCTGACCTCAGGTGATCCGCCCTCCTCGGCCTCCAGAAGTGCTGGGATTCCAGGCTGAGCCGCTGCACCTGGCTGAGATGTTTCCTTTGAGAACGAAGAAGTCCTCATCTTTGCTAGTCCAGAGCTCTCACTGAATATGGCCAGAGTTTGCTCCATAAAGCCCCCAAATAAACCCACATCTGGGCAGCCGTGTGCGGTGGCTCACGCCTGGAATCCCAGCACTCTGGGAGGCCGAGGCAGGTGGATAACCTGAGGTTGGGAGTTCAAGACCAGCCTGGGCAACATGGTGAAACCCCGTCTTCTACTAAAAATACAAAAAATTAGCCAGGCATTGTGGCAGGTGCCTGTAGTCCCAGCTACTTGGGGAGACTGAGGCAGGAGAATCGCTTGAACCCCGGCAGAGGTTGCAGTGAGCTGAGATCACGCCTTTGCACTCCAGCCTGGGCAACAAGAGTGAAATTCTGTCTCAAAACAAACAAGCCCACATTTGGCCTTGAAGGCAGGAATCTGGGACAAATATGTGTGAAGTAAGGATCCTGTGTCAGACCAGACAGGGACTCCCCTTTTCCCAGCAGGAGACACAGTTTCCAAATGGCCAGTCTCTGGGCACAGGCCCCTGCTCACCAGTGTCCCAGGAGGGGGCCTGCTCAGCAGTGCCCTCTGGGCCACATTCTCATTCTCTCTCTGGACAGCAGCAGCACAAGCTGCCATTTCCCTGGGGCCTGACTGGCTCCTCGAGCCAGCCAAGTGCCCCAGCTGGGAACTTCCTGGCTCTGGTTTTTAGATTCTGGGGCCACATTCCCTGAATGGGTCCACCAGATGGCAGGCAGCCTTTCCTCTTCCCAGACTGATACTAGTTCACACACCCTGCCCGGGGAGGAGGCCTGGCTGTTTTTCTGGCAATTGCTACCTTCTCCAGGAAGCTCAAAAAGCACATCAGTTTTGTGTTGTTCTGTAAGTGAAATATCTGGAGCTGCCTTATTTTAAAAAAATAATTAAACCTCTCTTTCATTATACAATTATGTATTGCCAAAGAATAATTCACCTAATAATCAGTTATTTCCTATTGATTCTGGTCCAACATGTACTTTAACTAGACATTTTATTTTGCGCTTTCACTAACTACATAATTACCTGCACTACTGCCAAATACAAAGTTCTGTGAAGATTTGGTAGCATAATTTTTTTTTCTCATTCTGTCCCCCAGGCTGGAGCACAGTGGCGCGATCTCGGCTCACTGCAACCTCCGCCACCCGGGTTCAAGCGATTCTCCTGCCTCAGCCTCCCGAGTAGCTGGGATTACAGGTGTGAGCCACCACGCCCGGCTAATTTTTGTATTTTTAGTAGAGACGGGTTTCACCATGTTGGCCAGGCTGGTCTCAAACTCCTGACCTCAGGTGATCCACCCGCCTCGGCCTCCCAAAGTGCTGGGATTACAGGCGTGAGCCACTGCATCTGGCCCCAACATGTACTTTCACTAGATATTTTATTTTGCGCTTTCACTAACTACTTAATTATCTGCACTACTGCCAAATACAAAGTTCCGTGAAGATTTGGTAGCATAAATGAAGAATTCTAAGTAATTCCACTGACTACATGTCACTCGTTCATCATAGGCTGGAAAATAATATTACCTTGAAGTGCTAAACTGTGAGGGTGAAAGATGCTTTTTTCCTTCCCCGTGTTGTATCACTGCAGCCCCCTCCCTAGAGGTGGGTCAGACGAGCCTGGAAGTACATTTCCACATGAAGTGCGGCACTTGCTATAGACTTTTGAGTTCCGGCACAAGATCCCAGTCTTGGCTTCTTGGACCTGAGTTCGAATCCCATTTCTATGACTGAGCTCCGTGGATAACCTTACAGCAAGTCACTGACACTCTCTGAGCTTCCCTTTCCTTCAGCCACCACCTAGGAACGTCACACAGGCTGACGGGGTTACTAAATGAGACAGTGTGTGTGGAAGGTGGACCATCAATATTGGCCCCCAGTCCTCCCTCCATCACATCAAGTATGGGTTTTGCTCTTTGTCAACGGTGGTACTTTACACCTACAGACATACACGTGAGGTCTCAGCCTTTTCATCTGAGTCTACTGGTAGAAGGTTTTCTGAATGGAAATGGACAATTCAAAGAATCGGAAGAGGAGCAAGTGTTTCCACCCTCTGCTGAGATTTCAGTCCTTCTTGCACTTAAGCACTGCTCTAAATGTGAAGCGACAATTCCTCATCTGTGGCACGAGGAAGACAAGGCTTAGTAAACGGACTTACCCTGTGCAAGGAATGGAACTGGACGGGAACCCAGGTCTGAACGTCGAAGTCTGTGCTCTTTCCTGCCTCTTGCTCCCCTAGGGTGGGTGGAAAAGAGTCTTGGGTTTACACCTGCCTGGCCCTCTCAGAGCACCATTTGCGAGCCAGTTCTGCCAAGTCCGACTGTACTTTTCCTCTACCCCTTCTCCTTTCAGTTCCCCTGTGAGGGAAGCACCCACAATCTTCCTCTTCCCTAAGGAAACCCACGCTTCTGCTTGGATTGAGACCGGCAGACAGGCTACATCTCAAAGGGCACCTCGAGGGGCAAGGGCGTTCTGTAGTCACAACACAGTCCGTGGAGTACAAAGCACAGCCTCCACCAGGCAGCATTAGCTGCTCCAACCAGGAATTTAAAACACCAACCGCTGTTTTAGTCATTTGGCTGAGCCACAGCAGAGCATGTGAATGTCACAGAACAGAGCAGGAACGCCGGGGCACGTGTGATGCCCATCATCAGTGGGGCAGGCGCCGTCCGGGCCTCTGATACTGCGCTGGCACTCATACCGAGAGCCGCGTACTCGGGATTACTAGAGAGGTTCGACACATCAGTGCTGCCCGCAGGAGGCAGGAGTCAGTTCATTCTATTCAGCCTCTTCTGGGTTTTACCGAGGTTAGTGCCCATTCAGCAAACCAAGTCTCCTGTGCACCAACTTCCCTAAAAAGGCCGTGACCCTTTCCTGAGGGGACCCCCTCTATCGCCATAAACCTGCTGCACCTTTGAAATGCTCCTTCTTCCAGAGGGCTCTTGACTTACTTTTCCCACCTGGCCCCTTCTCCTCCTATGTGCACAACTGCTGGGCGGCCACATCTGATCCTGTACCAGAAACATAAGGGGAGACGGGATCCTCCTTGAGCCCACACAGACCCCAGCGTTCTCCCCAGAAACGCCCCTTGTGAGAAGCAAGGCCGGCTAACCGACAGCATCTACACCACACAGAACCCTCACCTTCTGATATAAGCAACACACGACATGCATGGTAGCCAGCCAACCAGAGGAACCCCAAACAAGGGTCAACAACAGAACACTGAACCCAGCTGCTTTTTTTTTTTTTTTTTTTTTTTTTTTTTGAGACTGAGTCTTACTCTGTTGCCTGGGCTGGAGTGCAGTGGCACGATCTTGGCTCACTGCAACCTCTGCCTCCCGGGTTCAAGCGATTCTCCTACCTCAGCCTCCTGAGTAGCTGGGATTACAGGCATGCACCACCACGCCCAGCTCATTTTTGTATTTTTAGTAGAAACAGGGTTTCACCATGTTGGTCAGGCTGGTCTTGAACTCCTGACCTTGTGATCTGCCTGCCTCTGCCTCCCAAAGTGCTGGGATGACAGGCGTGAGCCACCGCACCCGGCCTTCTGAACCCAGCTGCTTTCTTGGAGATCTTGGTATTACTCCTGGCTTTTGGAAAGTTACTGTTTGAAGATCACTCAGCATTTCCCCTCCAGTATCTTCATTAACTAGATATCAAGAAAAACTGGATCCAAAGGACTGGCCCAACCTGGATATATTCTAGAGTAGAAGGACAGCTGGAAAGAACAGAAAAAACAGTCAGCTGGGACCATTAAAAAAACATTAAAAAGTCGAAAGGGATTATACCAGGTAAAGAGACCATGGCTAGTGTTTTTTTCTCTTTCTACTTTTATTTTTCAAATTTTATTTCTGTGAAAATGTATTTGTTTACATAAAAATACAAATCTGGGTAGCAACTGGGTATTTCAAGAAAACACCGTGGACAGACTTGTCTCCATTCCCACGGGGAAGTGAAGGCGCTTTGATAAAAGGGCCAAGGGTGCCCTCGTGTGGCCACGGAGGGAAATGCCGCGGCTTCAGCAGAAAGGAGGGGCTCCAGGAGCTGGTCGTGAAGTCATCAGCTCCCTTCTTTCAAAAGGCCTCGGATTTCCCACAGGCTTTTCCATCTTTTCCACTCCTTGCAGTTTTGTTATTCCTGTCACAACTTAGAAGTTCGAGTGCTCACATGGTAAGCTTTGATTTCCATCGAGAGGAAAGGCTTTATGTTTTATAAAAAATATATACTAAAGTAATCTACACGAAGCTTAGGATGAGTTGAAAGGGTACTGCCAAAACGCGGCCCTGCCCAGGACACACAGCAGAGGTCTGGAGTGGGGACAGTGCGGCCAGCATGTGTGGGGAAGGAAGCAGGCTGACGGAGGCAAAGCAGATTCCGAAGAACAAAAGCAGCTTTAGTTTGCCTGGGCAACAGGCTCAACTTCTGTCTCCACTTCAGTTATCAGGAGACCAGAAGCCGATTCTAGGGACCAGAAGAGAATGTAGGGTCACATCACCAAGATTTAATTTCATACCAACCCCGCAACATGAATGTGACCTCTGGACACCGGGAGAGTAACACTCAAGGTTATGACATATGAGTCAATAACCCATTTCTTCAAAGAAAAACTTGCCCACCTGTACCAGAGGTATATGCTATGAAACAACACACAATTATAAAGCATATGCATGACCAAAACAATGCTTAGATGTCCTTTAAAAATATTTTCAATGTTCTCTCACTAGGTAGCCTAAGAAAATCTTCTCAGGGAAGGAAATGGAAACATCCAAATGCACAGAAGGCACTCGGCTCCAGACTGAAAGCTGGCCTGCTCATGGGTTCCTTTTTTTTTTTTTTTTTTTTTTTTTTTGAGACAGTCCCACTTTGTCGCCCAGGCTGTAGTGCAGTGGCATTCTCGGCTCACTGCAACCTCCACCTCCCAGGTTCAAGCGAGTCTCCTGCCTCAGCCTCCCGAGTAGCTGGGATTACAGGCACGTGCTATCATGCCCGGCTAATTTTTGTATTTTGAGTAGAGACGGGGTTTCGCCATGTTGGCCAGGCTGGTCTCAAACTCCCGACCTCATGCGATGCGCCCATCTCAGCCTCACAGTGCTGGGATTACAGGCGTGAGCCACTGCGCCTGGCCACGGTCACGGATTTTTTAAAACTCTAAGGTCATTAGCTTGACATCTATAAAATCTCCTCCATGACATGAAGCCTTAAACCTAGGGACAGAAACACACTGAGACACAGAAACACCTTCTGTGCTTCAATACACAGAGCATTCTCTGGAAATCCCTACGACACAGGCTTAAAGGCCAGTGCTGTGCCTGAAAGACATTTTGAACAGGCAAGGAGTGTAAGCTAATACACTACTGTTACAACATGGACAAATACTTGTAAGATGTTAAATGAACAAAGGACCAGAATACAAAACTGAATACGCAGCATGAGGACAACCAAAGTTAAACCCACACACTCACACACCCCGTCTACAGAGAGACTAGAAAGGAACACGCCAATGCCAAGAGTGGTTATGTTACAGAAGGTTGGGACTCGGGGTGATTTTGTTGTTTTGACTTTCATTTTTCCAAATCTTTAATGAGCATGTGCCACTCTTTCATAATGAAACAAGCAAACAATAAGTACTTACTACTTACTGAATGAATAGTTGCCACTTAAACAATTATCCTAAAATTATACCAAGGAAACTAGGTTTGGGCCCAGCAAATGACTCAAATGTAATATTCACTCGAGGTAAGGACAGTGGGGTGGTGTGGGCTGGCACAGCAGAAAATTTCTAGACCAGGGGAATCCACGGTCCTGAATTGAGTCTTGGCTCTGTGTGACCCTGGGTATTGTTTTTTGCAGCCTGACACATGAATGCTTGGACTAGAATAATGATTCTTAATCCTTAGTGGGTTATTGACCCCTTTGTCTGTGTCTGAGGGTTCTGGGAACCCTCTCTCCAGGAAAAAAAATACACACACACACACACACACACACACATGCTCACAGAGCTTTTAGAAGTAACTCTAGGAGGTACATGGACTCTCTGGAGGTCCACGGACCAGGTTAAGAACACTGGTCAGAGGCTGGGAGTAGTGGCTCACGGCTGTAATCCCAGCACTTTGGGAGGCCAAGGTGGGCGGATCACCCGAGATCATGAGTTCGAGATTAGCCTGGCCAACATGGTGAAATCCCATCTCTACCAAAAACACAAAATTAGCCAGGCGTGGTGGCGCGTGCCTGTAATCCCAGCTACTTGGGAGGCTGAGGCAGGAGAATCGCTTGAACCCGGGAGGCGGGGGTTGCAGTGAGCTAAGATCGCACCACGGCACTCCAGCCTAGACAACAAGAGTAAAACTCCACCTCATAACAAACAATCAATCAAAAAGCCACTGGTCAGTATGCTGCCTTCTCCAGCTCCAGCTCCACAGCCAAGTTAAGGCACAGCAGTTCCGCTTCCTGTGTCTCTGCCGAGGGCCTGATCTAGCTGCTGCCAAGACATGCCAAGGTCACCAGCTTCCCGTCCTGACCAACAGCCACCTCTCAGAAGGCTGGCTTAACTACTCAGCCCCAGTCTTCTTAGCAGATGGCAAGGAGCTCTGGCCAAGATTTTAGTCTAAACAGAACCCTAGGCTGCTGATGCAACATCAAGCACAGCAAAAGGTCACCCCTTTCCGGGGGGACGGCTACTGAACCCTGGCATTCCAATTAGAAACGTGTTTCAAGGACACAGTTACTCCGGCCTCAGAACTCTCCAATGTGAGTAGGTAAGTACAGGGGGGATTACAAGTGAAGCCACAAAAAAACAGTATTTGATCAGCAACAAAATATCTGAGACTTTCTTAAGCTACCTACGGCACATACTATTTTGTTCTATTTCTCATTTCTATCATCAGCCGCTCACTCAGCTAACCCCAGGATTCAAATAGGACCGCTGGTTTTTAATTTGTGAATATTCTTATTTAAAAACAAAACAAGCTCTACTTCAGATGTCCAAACAAAAATCACACAGTAGTAAAACTGCTACAAAATGGTACTGTCAACAGGCTGGAGGTGGGGGTATGGGTGCCTTCTGTGTGCCTCAGTCACACCGGGGAGTTTTGCTTACCTAATTCTGCTTCTGAAATAAGCAACATCAAAACAGCCAGGTGTCAGGAATGTGCCATTTACCGGGTGGTCCCCAGACTCTGCTGCTCCTTCCCAGCATTACTAAGGTTTCTCTCCCAGATTCCCCACCACCCACCATACAGCTCCCTTTGTGGGATTGATGCAAGGTAGGCCCCATCTTGAAGAGTGACCTAGAACAGGGTACCAGGGCCTCCAGCTGGAGGCAGAGAGAGCCACCCCTCCTCAAGAAACACCCTTGGGTGACAGAGACAGCATGATATTCTAGGCAGTGCTGCCCAGCCCAGACTCCACAAACAACCCTTCTGACCTTGCAGAGGCAGTCCAGAGCTGAGGGGCCAGCTTGAGCCAGCTTGCAATCCCTCGGGAGTTTACTGAGGGCTTTCTGTTGTTACTGATGACCACAATTCCTCCTTGTAAATGACCACACTACGACTCCCTGTAACTCAAAAAGCGGGAAGGAGGCGGGGGGAGGTGGGGGACAGATTCATAGGTTTTTGTTTTCGAAGATAATTCCACATCGTGCTACTAATGGGCCGCTGGTAGGATTCCTCTTGCCACCCCACAGGCCACTCCAAAGCAAGTTACTATCAACACGTTTCCAACTGTGCAGGAGGTTTCTAGTTAACTGCAACAAGCCTGAAAATTTGGTTACGTATGTAGGTGCAAAGCTGGTTCATCAGATCCCTGTTCTGGCCCTCAACCCAGTGCATCTCCACTAAGGCATCGTCCACCTCCTTCTTAACGTTTATCAAACACTTAAACAGGTACTGTCCGGCCACTCCTGGGAGACGTTTCCCCCTTTCAGCCACTGGGCTGCCGAACTGCTCAGAAGCCTCTTGGTCCTGGGCTCCGTTGCTAGAGCCTTGACAACTTTCCAAAACCTCCACCCCTCCCTTTTCCTCACTCCTTTCATCCTCCGTGGGTTCCGGGTTTTCCTCCTGGGACAGGGACTCCTGGCTCGGGCACGGGCCCTCCACAGCGGCAGCCTCGCCTTCCCGCAGAGCAGGCCCACAGGGGGTCCTCTCCTGGGGGCCCCTGGCCAGTTCTTGGCTATTGCCAGACTCTTTGGGGGTGGGCTTTTTCTCTTCCAAGGCCTGAATGACGTCCTCAGGAGCTCGGGGAACTTCTCTCAGCTGTCTCACACGCTCTCTTTTCTTTCTCCTTAAATGAATCCAGGAGTTTTCTATGGCCGTTAGGAAAAGGCTGACTTCCTCTTTTCCACAGGGAACTCGTTTATGCTGGACCTGTTTGGAGGAAAAACAGAATTTTGTGGGAAATCACGTTTCCCCTCTCTCCAAACTCTCAATAAAAAAAAAAAGAAAAAAGAAAAAAGAGAAGGATCATTATGAGTACTTCGTCAATATGGTTAAGCAGGTACCTTCAAATCAGTGAGAATTTTTTCAATCCATGTCGTGACAACGACTATGCCTTCCGCCGTCTCCGAGCGCAGAGGTGATGCTTTGAGGGATAATTCCTTCATCACGGACGCCAGCACCACGAATGTTATGGGTTTTCTCGGTTTCTCTAATTTTCTTCGCTTACTTGGTGGTGACTGCAAGAAAAAGGAAGCATAGAAAAGAGAAGAAAGTTATCCGAATAATTAAACCTCATGCATTGTAATGAACTCAGAGAAAATTTCCACAACTTCTGCTACCAATCATAGAGCACTGAAAACACAAAGGGTTTTGTGTGTGTTATGTCCAGCACTTAAAACAACCCTGCAAGGTGCAGTCATTCACGCCTATAATCCCAGCACTTTGGGGGGCCATGGCAGGAGCATCACTTGAGCCCAGGAGTTTGAGATCAGCCCCAGCAACATAGTAAGACCTCCATCTCTAAAAAAACGTTTAAAACTAGTCAGCCACAATGGTGTATGCCTGTGGTCCCGGCTACTCTGAAAGCAGAGGAGGGAGGATCATTTGAGCCCAAGACTTCCAGGCTGCAGGGAGCTCTGATTGCGCCACCGCAATCTAGCCCAGGAAACGGGGTGAGACCCTGTCTCTTAAGAAAAAAAAAATTTTTAATTAAAAAAATAAGAACCCCACAAGATAGTTTAGGCATCTCCAGGAAAACGAAGATACAGAAAGGCTATGTCACACAGCTCAAGGTCACACAGTAACTGCAGTTAGGACTGAACGCCGAACCCACGTTCTTTCCAGCCGCACCGCACTGCCTTTGTTCTGGCTATCAGATGTAACTCCTCCAACTGCTAAACGTCCTTCGTGTACCTGTGGTACCCAAAGCAGACCTGCACAATTATTTATTTCATGACAACTCGAGGACCCTGGGGGCACTGTGTTCTTGGCTGGAAAGAACTGCAGGGCAGAAACATCATCAACTTGTAGTTTGAGTTTATATTGGCTGAGGCTTGAGATAAAGCAGCCGGTGAACCACAGCCATGAGATGACATGCGAGGAAGGATCAGGGCCACTAAGATCACGTGGGCAGAGGAGGAGGACTCCTGAATCGTGGCTGATGTCGGGACCAAGCCGGCGGCGAGCTAAGCACTGCCTTTTAGCTGGGGAGGGTGACACCGGCGCTGATGAGAAGACTGGATTTCAAAGCTGGTTCCAAGAAAATCACGACTGGCATCTTCCATTCTATCTCAAGCTGGGAAGGTGAATTATACCCTACCCACTAGAGGGACTCAAGTTCCACTTTAAAAACCAATGGCACCTGCCGGGCGCGGTGGCTCATGCTTGTAATCCTAGCACTCTGGGAGGCCGAAGCAGGCAGATCACTTGAGGTCAGGAGTTCAAGACCATCCTGGCCCACATGGTGAAACCCCGTCTCTACCAAAAATACAAAAATTAGCTGGGCATGGGGGCACGCACCTATAATCCCAGCTACTCGGGAGGCTGAGGCAGAAGAATTGCTTGAACCCAGGAGCCAAAGGTTGCAGTGAGCCAAAGGTTGCAGTGAGCCGAGATTGTGCCACTGCACTCCAGTCTGGGCCTGGGCAACAAGAGTGAAACTCCGTTTTAGAAAAAAAAAAAAACAAAACCAATGCCACCACTGTATTGAAAATTTATTTATTCATTTATTTATTTTTGAGATGGAATCTCACTCTGTCACTGGAGTGCAATGGCGCCATCTCGGCTCACTGCAACCTCCACCTCCGGTTTCAAGCGATTCTCCTGCCTCAGCCTCCCAAGTACCTGGGACTACGTCACCAAGCCCAGCCAATTTTTGTATTTTTAGTAGAGACGGGGTTTCACCATGTTGGCCAGGATGGTCTCGATCTCTTGACCTCGTGATCCACCCACCTCGGCCTCTCAAAGTGCTGGGATTACAAGTGTGAGCCACCGTGTCCAGCCTGAGAATTTCTTTCTTTAAAGTAGAAACTTTAGGCTGGGTGTGGTGGCTTATGCCTGTAATCCCAGCACTTTCGGAGGCCGAGGCGGCCGGATGGATTGAGCTCAGGAGTTTGAGACCAGCCTGGCCAACATGGTGAAACCCCATCTCTAGTAAAAATACAAAAATTAGCCGGGTGTGGTGGCCGCGCCTGTAATTCCAGCTACTCGGGAGGCTGAGGCAGGAGAATCACTTGAACCCAGGAGGTGCAGGTTGCAGTGAGATGAGATTGCGCCACTGCACTCCAGCCTGGAGACAGAAGGAGACTGTGTCTCAAAAACAACAACAACAAAAAGGATAAAAAAGAAAAAACACCAAGTCAGGTTTGAAGATCTTTTTCTGCTAAAAGGAATCTGACGACTGCTACTGATCATTCCAGTCGTACCTGGCCACACTGACAGCGCACACGCACACATGCAGACACCACAGGTTCTGATTACTGGGGGACGTCTTCTAATAAGAACTAACCAGCGGCCTCACACTGCATACATACACAACAACCTAACCAGTTTATTCTATACTAGGAAACTGTTAGGGAAGGATAAAAAACAAAGGGTGTGTGTGTGTGTGTGTGTGTGTGTGTGTGTGTGTGTGTGTTTGAAGAACCTGCTCTTGAGAAATGAATAGTGGACTCTAAGACCTGTCTGAACCTGAACTTGTTCAATTATGTTTCAGACAAGATGAGACAAATTCATATTGACATTAAGACAGTCATATTGTTATTACTCAATCATCCTGCATGAGAAACATAATTTCTAGTCTACTGAGAGCCTAACGCTTTGCAGTAAGGAGCTTACAATAAGCGTATTAAGCTGGGGAAGAAGCGTATTAAGCCGGTGTGTGGGAGGATGATGGGGGTGGAGAATCAGACTCCCCATTCCCCGTCCCAACATCAAAGGCCATGACCATGGAGAGCTCACTGCAACCTGGCCCTCCCTGCCAGCCCGCCCTGTACAGCAAAGGTCACCTACAAGCATGGCTAAAAGGGCAGCACTTCCCATCTCTTCTCACAGAAGGAGTGATCATTTTGCTCACAAATTCTGACCAGTAAAGTCAGGATATTGCTGTTTCTCATTATGCTAAAGCTGACCTGCGACACTCTTTCTCCAAAAGTAAGGACGGGCTTCATCATTTCTAGAGATTAAAATAAGAAAATACATCTTTACCAACCTGACAAGAACTCTATCAGGGATACTTTCAGAGTTCTGAGGAAGTCAGAAATCACAAAATCGACAACTTATTACCCAGTTATCTCAGGACTAAAATGAAAACTTCCCTCTCTCAAATATGGCTCCTTCACCTGCATCCTGACCCAACTTTCCCATATACAATGGTCAGTCAACAAACTTGATATTCCTGAAGATTTTTTAAAAAATTTTCCTTTTATTTTATTTTATTTTATTTTATTATTTTATTTTTTTTTTTGAGACGGAGTCTCGCTCTGTCGCCCAGGCTGGAGTGCAGTGGCGGGATCTCGGCTCACTGCAAGCTCCGCCTCCCGGGTTCACGCCATTCTCCTGCCTCAGCCTCCCAAGTAGCTGGGACTACAGGCGCCCGCCACTACGCCCGGCTAATTTTTTGTATTTTTAGTAGAGACGGGGTTTCACCGTTTTAGCCGGGATGGTCTCGATCTCCTGACCTCGTGATCCGCCCGCCTCGGCCTCCCAAAGTGCTGGGATTACAGGCGTGAGCCACCGCGCCCGGCCTTATTTTTATTTTTTAAATAGAGAAGGGTCTTGCTATATTGATTGCCCAGGCTGGTCTGGAACTCATAGGCTGAAGCTCTCCATCTGCCTCAGCCTCCCAAAGTGTTCGGACTCCAGGCCTGAGCCACTGCGCCAGCTGCATTCGGAAGATTTCTAATGAACTGCTCTAGCACACACATGCACACACATCATCTCAGGACGGTCTTCAATTTGGCTTTGCTCTACTATAGAAACTAGACATTAAGAGACAGACAGGCCAGGCGCAGTGGCTCACGCCTGTAATCCCAGCATTTTGGGAGGCTGAGGTGGGTGGATCACAAGGTCGGGAGATTGAGACCATCCTGGACAATATGGTGAAATCCCATCTCTACTAAAAATACAAAAAATTAGCCAGGCGTGGCGGCACACGCCTGTAGTCCCAGCTACTTGGGAGGCTGAGGTGGGAGAATGGCGTGAACCCGGGAGGCGGACCTTGCAGCGAGCAGAGATCGCGCCACTGCACTCCAGCCTCGGTGACAGAGCGAGACTCCGTCTCAAAAAAAAAAAAAAAGACAGATAATTCATACTCCAGGAGTTCTCAGGCAAGGCTTTTAAATGATGAAAGATTAACTGAAGTATGGCTCACAGCAGTTGTTCAGTCCCCTCTTATTTATCATGAAAAGTCCTCGTGGGCAGGGTCACAGTAAAATATAGGATCAAGTTCTAAGAAATTAATAGTTAAATTCAACACCACAGCTCTCTGGTCGTAGGCAATTTTTACATTTTGCTGCAAACACTAGTACATAGAAGCTGTCAGTTTTTCCCCAATTGAAATGATCTTATTTTGCTAATATCCTTATAATTGCAAAACACAAATATTTTAAATGAAGAGTGCTACACTCAAACTGTCATAATCTAGTTTAGCAGGCAAGGCGTACATAAATAATTCAACATTTTAAAGTCTACCCCAAAACCAATCATTTACAATGATTAATCCAGTTTAATGCAAAGAACTAGGTGAATTTACAGCTGATTTTGGATTTGAAGATGCACTGCTGGAATTACAATGTGAGAGAAGCCTGGTGAGCAGTCGTAGGTCTGCAGAGACCACAGGTTTTATATCTTTTGAATTCCAAGTAGTCAAGGAATGATCATCAATAAGAGAGGAACTGCAAGCGTTAAAAACACATTAGATCACAGAAGCCATCAATCAGGCACAAACAAACAAACAAACAAAAAACCAGTTCTTAAATTTTAAAATATGCTACGTAGCAGGGTGGTCTACAAATTTCTTTTCTTGTCTTTTTTTTTTTGAGACAGGGTCATGCTCTGGCACCCAGGCTGGAGTGCAGTGGCGCAATTACGGCTCAGTGCAGCCTCCACCTCCTAGGCTCAAGTGATCCTCCCACCTCAGTCTTCTGAGTAGCAGGGACTATAGGTGTGTGCCACCATGCCTAGCTAATTTTTGTATTTTTTGTAGAGATGGGGTTCTGCCATGTCGCCCAGACTGGTACAAATTTGAATCTTCACTTTAATTTCTAAATCTCAATGATGCCATCAGCCAAGAAACTTTCACATGTGGTGTAGCTTGACACAGATCAGTGTAGCATGTTATGTCTCCGTTAATTATGGCTAAGGCAAAAAAAAAAAAAAAAAGCCACAGGCTGAATGAAATCATTAAATTCTCTCTAGTATTTGCAGGAAGAGAAGAGCCATTCTACAGAGAAATCTGGTGCGCACGAAGCCACAACCTCTTTGTTTTGGCAAAGCAGCTTCTAGAAAAACCTCAAGTGGAAAGGGGACAGGGCAGAGAGGAGACCCCAGTGCAGTGGCCGTCTGTTTTTTAAAAGAGATAGGGAGTTACAATGTTGCCCAGGCTGGCCTTGAACTCCTGTGCGCAGGTGATTCTCTCACTTCAGCCTCCCAAGTAGCTGCAACTACAGGTGCACATCACCACACCCAGCCCATTTCTTTCATCTTAATCTGACAGGTCGTTGTTTAAAATGTCCTGAAATCACCCCCAGGAGTACGTAAAAACAGTAAAAAGTAAAAATAGCAGCCGGGTGCCATGGCTCACGCCTGTAATCCCAGCACTTTGGGAGGCTGAGGCAGGTAGATCACAAGGTCAGGAGATCAAGACTAGCCTGGCCAACATGGTGAAACCCCATCTCTACTAAAAATATAAAAATTAGTTGGGCATGGTGGCACGTGTCTATAATCCCAGCTACTCGGCAGGCTGAGGCAGGAGAATTGCTCGAACCAGGGAGTCGGAGGTTGCAGTGAGCCGAGATCACGCCACTGGACTCCAACCTGGGTGACAGAGCAAGACTCCGTCTCAAAAAAAAAAAAAAAAAAAAAAAAGTAAAAATAGCAAGGGGAAGAAAACTATTGCAGAATGCTACCTATTTAAGAAGGAATGATTATAAATACATACGTGTATTTCTTTGAATTTGAAAAAATGGGTCAGGCACGGTGGCTCATGCCTGCAATCCCAGCACTTTTGGAGGCCAAGGCAGGCAGATCACTTGAGGTCAGTAGTTCCAGACCAGCCTGGCCAACATGGTGAAACCCCATCTCTACTAAAAATACGAAAAAAAAAAAAAGAGCCGGGCATGGAGGCATACACCTGTAATCCCAGCTGCTCGGAAGACTGAGGCAGGAGAATAATAGCTTGAACCCAGGAGGCAGGGCCTGCAGTGAGCCGACATCGTGCCACAGCACTCCAGCCTGGGCAACGGAGCAAGACCCTGGCTCAAAAATATAAATACAAATAAAGGAATGATAAATTATAAAACTGTTTAAATAGTAACCCATGAAGAAGTAAAGGATTAGGGTGAATGAGATAGAAGAAAGAAGTCAGACTTCTGACCATTCTTTTGAGATTTTTTTCATTTCACAGGTAGAGAAATAAGAAATATATTTTATTACAAAACAAAACTAACAACAAAAAAGGCACTCCCTAAAAATCTGAAGATGATGAAACAAACGAACCTCTGTCCTGACTCCATGCAGAAAATTCAGAGTGGAAACGTTCCAAATGACTTTGAAATCCATCATGAGAGTCTCCAAGGACAAAAAAGAATTGTAAAAGTAAAAAAGTAGCTATTTTCAGAAATCACTTTGTTGATGGTAATGTTACTTTTGAGACTCCTGGGGCATATTGTGAGATAAAGTTAATGAGTAATATGTTGGCTGAGGACTGGAGTTTTTGGCATGGGATTCTTTTATTTTTTTAAGAGATAGGGTCTTCTGTGTTGCCCAGGCTGGCCTCAAACACCTGAGCTCAAGTGATCCCCCCGCCTCAGCCTCCTGAGTAGCTAGGATTACAGGCGTGCACCACCGCAGTCACAGGATTTTTGAATGGGAGATACAGATGGACAACTGATGAAATTAAGTAAAAACCCACAGATGTGAAGCTGAATAAAGTATCAGCAAGTATATGCTGGGTACAGTGGCTCACACCTGCAATCCCAGCACTTGGGGAGGTCGAGGCAGGAGGATCACTTGAGCCCAAGAGTTTGAGACCAGCTTGGGCAACATGGCAAAACTCCATCTTTACCCAAAAAAAAAAAAAAATTAGCTGGATGTGGTGGCAAGGAAGGAAGGGAGGGAGGGAGGAAGTGGAAGAGGGAAGGAGAGGGATGGGAAAGGAAGGGGAGGGGAGAGGAGGAAAGGAAAAGAAAGGAAAGGAATCAACAAGAACTTGCAACATATTTCATCTTAAAAATAGTAATTCCTAGCTCTGCTGAAAAAGCCTCTAAAAACAATGACTAACCTGGTACCATCCCTAGTGCCCAGATGAATACCTTTAAATACGACTTCCCAGCAAAATAAACCAGATCTCCTGGGAGAAATGGTTGATTCCAGATCTGAGAGAGGAAAAAATATGAGCCTAGAACAACCTGTGATACCAGAAAGCAAGGAAGCCACCAAAGACTACAGTGGATATGATAAAAAAGACTCACGAGCCAAGTTGAATAAATTCTCCATGGCCAAAGGCGGTTAACTGTGCCTCAGTAGAGATAGTAAGTGTAATGAATTGAAAAATGTAGCCTCAACCCGGGAGGCAGAGCTTGCAGTGAGCTGAGATCCTGCCATTGCACTCCAGCCCAGGCGACAGAGCGAGACTCCGTCTCAAAAAAAAAAAAAAAAAAAAAAAAAAAAAAAAAAAAAATATATATATATATATATATATATATATATATATATATAAATTGTAATACAGCGGGGCACAGTGGCTCACACCTGTAATCTCAGCACTTTGGGAGGCAGAAGCAGGAGGATCACTTGAGCCCAGGAGTTCGAGACCAGCATGGGCAACATAGTAAGACCCCATCTCTATTTAATAAAAAGAAAAAAAAAAGTAATCCATGACTTCATAAGATGCTACAAAGGAAAACCAAACCACCCTCTTTGGTCACTTTTGGAAGATGCTAGGGAACCACCAACTCATTGTTTTTATTTATTTTACTTTTTTACTTTTTGAGACGGAGTTTTGCTCTTGTTGCCCAGGCTGGAGTGCAGTGGCACAATCTCGGCTCACCGCAACCTCTGCCTCCTGGGTTCAAGTGATTCTCCCGCCTCAGCCTCCCGAGTAGCTGGGACTACAGGTATGCGCCACCAGGCCTGGCTAATTTTGTATTTTTAGTAGAGACAGGGTTTCTCCATGTTGGTTGGGCTGGTCTCGAACTCCCGACCTCAGGTGATCCACCCGCTTCGGCCTCCCAAAGCGCTGGGATTACAGGCATGAGCCACCGTGCCCAGCCAACTCATTATTTTTAAAACTGATAAAGCAAAAGAATGAAACTTTTTTTTTTTTTTTTGGAGATGTAGTCTCACCCAGGCGGAGTGCAGTGGTACGATCTTGGCTCACTGCAACCTCCACCTCCCGGGTTCAAGCGATTCTCCTGCCTCAGCCTCCCAAGTAGATGGGACTACAGGCGTGTATCATCACACCCGACTAAATTTGTATTTTTAATAGAGACGGGGATTCACTATGTTGGCCAGGCTGGTCTCGAACTCCTGACCTCAGGCAATCCGCCCGCCTCGGCCTCCCAAAGTGCTGGGATTACAGGTGTGAGCCACTGTGCTCGGCCAAGAATCAAACATTTATCCGGCTTTACTAGATGAACTGTACTTCAAAGTTACTAATAACTAATAGGAGAAGTTTCCTTTCATAGAAGTACCTCAGCTAATAAATGAAGGGACGAATAGAATTGGAATATCATTATTTGCAACTCTAAATGAATTAATGGATCTAGGCAATGATCATCAATGACTGCTCACATCATGAAGACACAATCTAACATGTGCCTCCATACGATAGTATATACCACATACCACCTGCAAAGTATTCTTGCTCCCCCTCCCCAATCAAAAAAAAAGAACAATCAACCCTGTATCTGATCAAGCTGCTGCTGCTTCTTTTTTTTTTTCTGAGGCGGAGTCTCGCTCTGTCGCCCAGGCTGGAGTGCAGTGGCACGATCTCAGCTCACAGCAACCTCTGCCTACCGGGTTCAAGCGATTCTCCTGTCTCAGCCTCCCGAGTAGCTGGGATTACAGGCGCCCGCCACCATGCCCGGCTAATTTTTTTCTATTTTTAGTGGAGACGGGGGTTTCACCATGTTGGCCAGGCTAGTCTCAAACTCCTAACCTCAGTTGATCCACCTGCCTCGGCCTCCCAAAGTGCTGGGATTACAGACATGAGCCACCTGCCCACTTCCCACTTTTTTTCTTTTTAAGACAAAGTCTTGCTCTGTCACCCAGGCTGGAGTGCAGTGGTGCAATCATAGCTCACTGCAGACTCAAACTACTGGGGTCAAGCGATCTTCTCATCTCAGCCTCCCAAGTAGCTGGGACTTCAGGCGCATACCACCACTCCTGGCTATTTTTTTTTTTCATAGAGACAGCGCTGCTGTACCTAAAAATATGCTTCTATCTGTATTTAAAGTTGAATTATGAACTTTAGACAGTTTCAGTTGCCTTAATTCTGTTCTATTCAGATATATTTTTAGAATTCTCTTTTTTTTTTTTTTTTTTTTTGAGACGGAGTCTCGCTCTGTCGCCCAGGCTGGAGTGCAGTGGCGGGATCTCGGCTCACTGCAAGCTCCGCCTCCCGGGTTCACGCCATTCTCCTGCCTCAGCCTCCTGAGTAGCTGGGACTACAGGCGCCCACCACCACGCCGGGCTAATTTTTTTGTATTTTTTTAGTAGAGACGGGGTTTCACTGTGTTAGCCAGGATGGTCTCGATCTCCTGACCTCGCGATCCGCCGGCCTTGGCCTCCTAAAGTGCTGGGATTACAGGCGTGAGCCACCGCGCCCAGCCTAGATATATTTTTAGAATTTTTTTTTAAATTGAAATATAGATACAGAAAAGCACATCTGTTATAAACGTTAAGTCTTAAGAACTTATTTACCAGGAACCCCAATTCCCTCTCATGCTCATTGGCCATTACCAATCCCTCTCTCAGTATCCCAATTTCTATCACCATGGGTTGTACCTGTTTGCAGGCTTCAGTATCTGACTTCTTTCATGTAAATTATTAAATAATAATAATTATTATTATTTTTGAGACAGAGTCTCGCTCTTGTTGCCCAGGCTGGAGTGCAGTGGTGTGATCTCAGCTCACTGCAACCTCCGCCTCCTGGGTTCAAGCAATTCTCCTGCCTCAGCCTCCCAACTAGCTGGGATTACAGGAATGTGCCACCATGCCCAGCTAATTTTTGTTACTTTTAGTAGAGACAGAGTTTCACTATGTTGGCCAGGCTGGTCTCAAAATCCTGACCTCAGGTGACCCACCTGCCTCTGCCTCCCAAAATGCTAGGATTACATGTGGGAGCTGCTGCACCCAGCCTTTTCGTGTAAATCATGTGTATGGGATTCATTCATATTGTTGTGAAGGCAGGTTCATTCACTGGAACAGAATTACTGTTTAGTTTCCATCTTCTGAATATACTACAACTTATTTACCCTTTCTACTATTTAGAGACATTTCAGTGGCTTCTAGTTTAGGGCTATTATGAATAATGTTGCTGTGAACATTCTTGTACAATGTTTGTGATACGTGTGAATACACATTTCTTTTGGATATAAACTTAGGAGTGGAATTGCTGGGTCACAGGGTATGAGCAAGCTCAGCTCTCATAAATCTTCCTAAAGATATGTTCTCCTGAATGTTACCAGTTGACACCCAGCTGCATGAGAGGATCGGCAATTGCTCTGCATCCTTGCCAACGCTGGATGGTCTATCCAGTATGCCATTATGCTTTTCATTTGCAGTTCTCTAATAACTAATGAGATTTAACATCCTTTTTGGTATCTTTTGACTCAAAAATAAATAAATAAATAAAATGCCTGTGAATTGGGGAGTCTGCAATCTGCATTTTGGGGAATAGATGGTTTAAAATTAAATGTTTAAAAATAACCTTATCATTTGCCATAATTTGTAGAAATAACAACGGAGCAAGAGAAATAACAACAAGGATATAATAACAATAATAACAAGGAGAAATAACAACAAGCTATCTTCTCAGAAGCTCAATGTGACTCAATATTTTTTTTTTTTCTTTTGAGACTGAGTCTTGCTCTGTCGCCCAGGCTGGAGTGCAGTGGCACGATCCTGGCTCACTGCACACTCTGTCTCCCAGGTTCACGCCGTTCTCCAGCCTCAGCCTCTGGGGTAGCTGGGACTATAGGCGCGCACCACCATGTCCAGCTATTTTTTTGTATTTTTAGTAGAGACGGAGGGAAGGTTTCACCGTGTTAGCCAGGATGGTCTCGATCTCCTGACCTCGTGATCCGCCTGCCTTGGCCTCCCAAAGTGCTGGGATTACAGGTGTGAGCCACCACGCCCAGCTTAAATGTGACTCAATGTTAAATTAGTTTGCATTTTAGGCTGGGTGCAATGGCTTATGCCTGTAATCCCAGCACTGTGGGAGGCCGAGGAAGGTGGATCACTTGAGCCCAGGAGTTCAAGACCAACCTGGGCAACCTAGGGAGACTCTGTCTCTATAAAATAATACAAAAATTAGCCAGGCATGGTGGCACATGCCTGTAGGCGCAGCTACTAGGGAGGCTGACAGGGGAGGATCACACGAGCCTGGGAGGTCAAAGCTGCAGTGAGCCGTGAGCGCGCCAATACATTCCAGCCTTGGCAACAGTGAGACCCAGTCTCAAAATAAAAAAAAAAATTAAGCTTGGTGGAATTATTTATATCCGACGCTCACGGTCATCGCCAAGGTCTGAGTTTTCACAAAAAAAAAACTTGCAACTTCCGGCATAAATGGGTTAATGGTCAGAGGAGGAATCTCCAGGCAGAGGGATTAGAGAGCTGTAGCTCAACATGACTGGAGTAACAAATACAGGGGCAGGTGGGAAGAAATGGTGGGAAATGACAACACAATATATTTTACTGAGCATTACTACATACCAGGCACTAAGTTAAGTACACTTAATCCTCAAAACAACCCTATGTGGTAGATACTATTATTCTTCCCCATTTTACAGATGAGGAAACTGAAGTTTAGCGAAGTTAAGTAGCCTGTTCTATGTAAAGCCAGACAGGGACCAGCTCACAAAAGGCCTTTTCCACACCTATGCAAGAAGGTTTTGGTGTTATCCACAGTACCTCAGTTAAACAAAACACCAGTGTAAAGTATGCCACAAGGAAGTTTATGCAGAGTATAGATAACTGAAAGAGATCAATGCAGTTAAGTCCAGAGGAAGGGAGAGATGTCCAGGTTCTATGGGCTGAATGCTTATGGGAGCTCTATGCAAGTAAGTTGGAACTGGGCTGGGTTGCAGTGGAGGACGTCAGAGGGAAGGATCAGAACAGGGTATGAGCAAAGGCTGTACAAAGTCAGCTCTGACTTCGGCACCATGGGAAGGCTGTGGAGACAGTACAGTCAGGACAACTGGGAGTGATTAGGATGGAAAGTCAGGACAGATCTGGGAGGCCCAAGGAGCCAAACGAGGAGCTGTACTTCCTCCCACTTGTGGTAGGTGGCCACTCAGGAGTGGGTGAGCAGGATGCTGACTGCAGGATGAATCCAGTCACTCGCAGATGAGAAACTGCTAGGATGGTCCATAAGCAAGATGTGAGGCCATCATGAGCAGGTTCTGGCCAGGCCAGGAACAACATAGGGCCGTGGCGGGCAGAGTGTCAGAGTGACATTAGGTGCTCAGGCTGTGAAATCAGACTCATCTGGGTTCTAACCTGACTTTTTGGAGCCTGCAGTAGACGTAGTTCACTCGATTGCTGTCAGGTGGAAATAAAATGAGACTATAATGTATGTGAAGTATTCAAACAACAACAAATATTATATCCAGTGCTTCAAATCTACTAAATCTACTGGATCCTGCGCACGATGTTGCTCTTTAACGCAAGTCCTACACCATTCCTTTAAACATACAACAAACACTGGGAACGCCACCCACCGACCTACGAGTCAGACGCTGGCGACTCCTCCTCCATAAAGCGGTCTTTGACTAGCCCCAGCCTGAGCCACTTCCTTTTCTCAACTCCTGGCCACTCCTGCCCCTACCACTCAGCACTTACTCACATGCAAATCTGCTGCAGATCGGGATCAATAGCTCCACGTGTTTTTCTTTCCTATAAAACTCATCATTGTGAGTAACAGAAAACAATGTCTGATTTGTTTATCATCACAATGAAGACCACACTTAAGAAGAAAAGTAACTAAGAAGAGGGTCCTAAGCTTTGGTTTTGCTCAAGAGCTCAGCCCCTGTCCATCTTGTAGCATAATGCACAGCCTGGTACAGTACTGGTTTTCAAACTATTTTTATTCAAACTTCTTTTTATTTTGAGACCCAGTCTCACTCTGTCACCCAGGCTGGTGGGCAACGGCGTGACCTCGGCTCACTGTAACCTCCGCCCACTGTAACCTCCGCCTTGCAGGTTCAAGCGATTCTCCTGCCTCAGTCTCCCCAGTAGCTGGGATTACAGGTGTGCACCACCACGCCCAGCTAACTTTTGTATTTTTAGTAGAGATGGGGTTTCATCATGTTGGCCAGGCTGGTCTCAAACTCCTGACTTCAGGTGATCACCACCTTGGCCTCCCAAAGTGCTGGGATCACAGGCATCAGCCACCACGGCCAGCCCAAACCATTTCTTAACAGCAGGACACTTTCAACAAATAAATCAACACATAATAATGATAAAAGCAGATGAGCTCTTTAAAATGAGAGGGAGGTCTCAAGTACCAGCCTGATGTCTGCCCCACCCTGGGGCACCTACCTGGCATCCCTCAGCTATGTGGACAAGACTGAAAACCTAAGGAGAAGGGAGCTGGGCACTGTCAGGATACCCAGCTCCAACATGCACAAAGTTGCCTAATTAATTTGACACCTCTCCTCCATCTGCTCTCCAAAAAGCCCTCTAGTTCTTACTCCCTAGACAGCCACGTCCCAGGCTTAAAGGTAATGTCTTCAATGCAGGGGATCCTTTTTAAGCCCAGAGTTCCTGAGCAGTGCTCACACCAAGAGTGAACAACTCACTAGGGCTACACTTTCCCCTTTTTCTCCTAACAAACGTCAAACTTCCTTCAAGCAAACCAAAACAAAGCTAAAATAATGCTTTCGGCAATTAGCGGAGAGCTGGAACAAAGAGGTAAGTGGCTTGTTAGAATTCTGCAGAGAACAGTTTGTAGAACATGCTTCCTTATATTCATCATTAGCTGAAATTATGGAACAAAATTCTATCAACATTAGGACCTTTTTGTTGCTAAAAGAAATCCAGACAACAGGAATGGGCTGAGTGTGGGCACTTGAATCACCAGTGAATTAGAATTTTTCAGCATTCAGCACCAACAGAAACGAGTCAGTAGGCCTGAGATAAGTGAAAACAGAAGTTGCCATAGTAACTTGCACATTTACCCTAAAATGGCGGGAGTGGGGGTGGGGAAATAGGTCAATGTTTCTGCTTAACTAGCTCTATTCCTTGTCTAAAGCAGCATCCTCCTCCTTCCTTACCCCCACCAGGAGCAAGAGGGGGAAAGTCAGATGGGGTTTTCAAAAAACGAGGGTGGGGAGAGAGGTCTAGGAAGAGGGAAGAGAACCAAGAGGATGGCTAAATAAAAACCTCGTGAGTACCCTGGGACGACCCCCTGGGGAAAGCAGTTGCCGATCAAGGGCAGCAGTGCTAAGAAACTGTTGCTGGGTTACTACAAATCAGGAATTGCCGTTTTTTCCTGTAGCGGCTGAAGTGCGTCTAACAGAACACTTGGGAGTGCATTATTAGCAGCTTGGGGCTGGGGTAGTGGTGGGGAGGAAGGAAGACTCTGGCAGGGGGGAGTCTGGGGCCCTCAGCATTCTCTGATGGTTGAGATGGGAGTGCATTATTAGCGGCTTGGGGCTGGGGTAGTGGTGGGGAGGGAGGAAGACTCTGGTAGGGGGGGAATCTGGGGCCCTCAGCATTCTCTGATGGTTGAGAACTATGAACGGGGCTGAAGGATGCCCCAAAACAGAGGAGAGGAGGGGAGGGAAGCTTAGGGGGTTCCTTTGCAAAATAAGCTGGTTTTGTTAACACAGAAGCAGTGCCCTTTACTACGTGGACCTGACAAGGCTACTCATGCAGGAGGGCCCGGAGGACTCGGTCTCGGAGCTGGTGTGGAGTGCCAGGGTGCTTTATCTGCTCTTCCACCTGCAGCGCCGACACATGTGGGAGGCGGGTGAAGCAGAAAGCACTTGAAAACAGGTGCAGTTCCAGTTTGCTGCAGCTGTTAGTGTCTCCACGGGGATAACTCAGAGCATTACTAATGATTTTAACCATGTGGTGTGAGGGCCCTGATATTCTAGAAAATGACAGAAAGGATAATTCTTCGGGGTGGTGAGGGGTGTCAAAAAAGGAGAAGCATCTTTTTAACCAGAGACTATTTCAAACACAAACCTCTAGATAACTTACTGCACTGTCCAGGAGTCTACCCTTCATGGAAGGGCCATTCAAATGGCACTGGGGAGTGTAATTGAACCCAGCAGCACTTCTAGCTGCAGAGTAGGACAGGCTCAACCTCGGATTTAAGCTCCTGTTTTCAGAAACATGGTAGTATCTGCAAATTGTTCCCTTGTGCTACATGTCTCTACTCCTCTACCCTACAAGAGCAGGAGAAGAGACTCAGACACACAGCAACATGTAAGATGACGTTAGAGACCAAGAGCAGCCAAGAGCTTGGAAGAACAGCACCCAGAACAAGCCCACTGTAGGCGCTGAGGGAGCAAAGCAGCAGGTGTCAGGTCCCCGCACATACTAAGAAAGGAAGAGCACCTGCTGGGCAGTGTGTGCAGACACTTCAGCTGGGAATCTCCAGGCAACAAGAAGCCAACCACACCTGGGAGGGAACTGTGAGAAGCAACAGATGCTGTTCTGTCACTGCCCGGAAAATCATTCAGTCTGGCCAGCTCAGAGGTGGTTTTCCTTTACCTATAGCAGCACTGAGGACAAAGAGACATCTGTGAACAAACCTTTTTTTTTTTTTTTTTTGAGACAGGATCTCACTCTGTTGCCCCAGGCTGAAGTGCAGAAAGTGCAGTGACACGATCAGGGCTCACTGCAGCCTCTACCTGCCAGGCTCAAGTGATCCTCCCACCTCAGCCTCCGCAGCAGCTGGGACTACAGGCATGCGCCATCAAAATACAAAAATTTTTGTATTTTTTGTAGAGACGGGGTTTCACCATGTTGCCTAGGCTGGTTTCGAACTCCTGAGTTCAAGTGATCTGCCCGCCTCGGCCTCCCAAAGTGTTGAGATCACAGGTGTGAGCCACCAGGCCTGGACACAAATCATTTCTTTAAACTTTTTATTCCAGAAAATGTTCTAGCACACACAAAATAGAAAGGAATAATGATCTATCACCCAGCTTCAAAAATGGTTAAGATTCTAGTGCTAATCTGAAAGCCAAGACAGAACCCTTCATTAAAATGATCCCCAAGTGTTGCACATCAAAAGCCTGCAATCCAAAAAGTCAACTTCTACGTTCTCCAGGAGCCCCAAGAGGCAGCTATTCTAGGAAAGCAGCAGTGGTAAGGAAAAGAAAGAGACCTCATTTTCAATTCTTGAGGAATGTCCACCAGCGTAATTATATCTGCAAAATGTTTCTACAGGTTATGTTACCTGAATTTTGTTTTTTAAAAAAATTTTTATTTATTTCATTTTTAATATTTTTGAGACAGAGTCTTGCTCTGTGGCCCAGGCTGGAGTGCAGTGGCACAATCTCAGCTCACCGCAACCTCCGCCTCCTGGGTTCAAGCAATTCTCGTGCCTCAGCCTCCCGAGTAGCTGGGACTACAGGAGTGCCACCACGCCCAGCTAATTTTTGCATTTTTAGCAGAGACACAGTTTCACCATGTTGGCCAGGCAGGTCTCAAACTCCTGGCCTCAAGTTATCCGCCCAGCTCGGCTTCCCAAAGTGCTGGGATTACAGGCATAAGCCACCATGCCCAGCCAAATTTTTAATTCCTAAAAGATACATTTCTGTCAGCTGAGCAAAAATCACTATGTTGTACAGACTCACAGAGGAAGGCTCCACAGTCTCCAGGACCAGCCTTCTAGGACTGTGTCTTGGTTACAACCCCTTTCCATTCTGACATAAGCATTTGGGACAAACTTCAGTTAAACAGGACACTACCAATTCAGTTCACTTATGATGGACTGAAACCCACCATGTGCTGGCAGGTGGTGAAGCGGAGCAAGGTCTGTACTTACTGGTACTGTGACATCATCATAAAAACTCCAAGCTAAGGCCCATCTCATTGTCCGACCTTGACAGAATTCAGTGTACGTTACTTTGGGAACCTGAAACCAACAAAGACAGCATCTCATCAAACTGCAATCATTCTACCAATATGTTTCTGGCTGCTGCGTCATGCCATATTATGTTGATCCTTCTTTTTAATCAGTTAACAAACAATATTACCAAACAACAGTTATAGATAGCTGCCTAATAATGAATGAATAAATCATCTCTCAACAAAGTTATATTTTTTCCTCCCATAAAACATAAGAGAATTTACAGATATGACTTGAAGGTTCAAATATATGAAACACTGAAAACACAGCTCTTTAGAGAATTATTTGTAATATGACTCAAGTGAGTTTTTTTGTTTTTTGTTTTTTTGAGACAGAGTCTTGCTCTGTCACCCAGGCTGGAGTGCAGTGTGCGGTCTTGGCTCACTGCAACCTCCACCTCCCAGATTCAAGCAATTCTCCTGCCTCAGCCTCCCGAGTGGCTGGGATTACAGGCGCATGCCACCACGCCCAGCTAATTTTTGTATTTTTAGTAGAGATGGGGTTTCACCATCACTGGTCTCAAACTCCTGACCTCAGGCGATCCGCCCACCTCGGCCTCCCAAAGTGCTGAGATTACAGGTGTGAGCCACCACACCCAGCCTCAAGTGATTTTTTGTTTTCTTTTTTAGAAAGAAAGTCAACCAAAGTCTGGGCTAGACACAGGTAGGTAATCTGTTTTATCAATCAGATTTTAGGAAAGGTAAAGGAACTAGTTTGTAGCTCTCACAATTTACCCAAGAAATGGTATTGTGAGGAAAAGAGGAGGAATAGGACGTCAGAGAGAAACCAGAGACCAGAAACTCTGCTCCTCCCACTGGCTTGCATCTGACCCTTTTGCTGAGAAGTCCTCTGACTCACACTAAAAACCAGAAACTGGGAGGAAAGTGGAAGTGGCGGTGGGAGTATTTATTTTATTTAAAAGAAAATTTTTTGGGGAGACAGGGTCTCGCTCTGTCGTCCAGATTGTAGTGCAGTGGCGTGATCTTAGCTTGCTGCAACTTCAACTTTCCGGGCTCAATGGATCCTCCCACCTCAGCCTCCTGGGTAGTGGGGACTACAAGCACGCGCCATCACACTTGGCTAACTTTTTGTATTTTTTTGTTGAGATGAGATTTCGCTGTGTTGCCCAGGCTGGTCTTGAATTCCTAGGTTCAAGCAATCTGCCCGCCTCAGCCTCCCAAAGTGCTGTGATTACAGACATGAGCCACTTTGCCCGGCCTGGGAGTACTTACTTGCGACCTGCCTTCTGAAACAGGAGCACGGGGCTCTGCTCTTGTGGAATGTCATCCTAGTGGGAAGCACAGGGGACCGAGACCGTGTGCTGGTGCTGTTCCCCCAGAGCTAACTGCATGGCCCACAACAAGCCCTTAAACCTATGTAGCTTGAGTTTCTGGATCTATAAAGGAGTGAGTTGAACTTGTCTTGGAGGCATAGTAAAAAATAAAAATTAAAAAAATATTAAAAAGGAGTTCGATGTGAGGTCAGTGGTAGATACCAGGTTTTTTGATTTCTGGCTTCTCTCTGACATTCTACTCACCCTGTTTTTCTCCACCTTTCTCTATAATTGTCAAAAAAGGCCTTGTTTTAATAATCTATAAAAAATATATTTTAGCCCTAAAAATATAAAACTTAGAAAACAAAACAAAAAACATATTTAGAGTTTTAGAGTATAAAGAAAATTCTATACTCAAAACTACCATCAGAGTAGACACAGGTCAGGTGCATGGGTCACGCCTGTAATCCCAGCACTTTGGGAGGCCAAGGTGGAAGGATCACTTGAGGCCAGTAGTTTGAGACCAGCCTGGGCAATACAGCAAGACCCTATCTTTATAAAAAATAAGGATTACTTGAGTACAGGAGTTTGAACTAGTCTGGGCAACACAGAGAGACCTTGTTTCTACTAAAAATTTAAAAATTAGCTGGGCGTGGTGGTGTGTGCCAACAGTCCCAGCTACTTGAGAGGCTGAAGTGGGAGGATTGCTTAAGCCTAGATGTTTGAGGTTGCAGCAAACTATGACTGTGCAACCACACTACAGTCTGGTTGACAGAGCAAGACACCATCTTTTTTTTTTTTTGAGACGGAGTCTCGCTGTGTCACCAGGCTGGAGTGCAGTGGCACGATCTCAGCTCACTGCAACCTCTGCCTCCCAGGTTCAAGAGATTCTCCTGCCTCAGCCTCCCCAGTAGCTGGGACTACAGGCGCGTGCCACCATGCCCGGCTAATTTTTGCATTTTTAGTAGAGATGGGGTTTCACCATGTTGCCCAGGATGGTCTCGATCTCTTGACCTCATGATCCGCCCACATCGGCCTGCCAAAGTGCTGGGATTACAGGCGTGAGCCACTGCGCCCAGCCCGACCCCATTTCTCAAAAAAAAACAAAAACAAAACAGTAGATATATGAAAAAAAACCTCAAGATGGACTAAAGACTTGAATATAAGACCTGAAAGTACAAAAAATACTAGAAGACTTGGTCCCAAAGGAAAAGAAATCATTAGGTGGGGTGCAATGGTGCACACCTGTAATCCCAGCACTTTGGGAGGCTGAGGTGAGAGGACTGCTTGAGCCCAGGAATTTGAGACCAGCCTGGGCAACATGGCAAGACCCCATCACTACTAAAGAAAAACAAAATTAGCTAGGCATGGTGCCATCTGCCTATAGTCCCAGCTACTCAGGAGGCTGAGGTAGGAGGATGGGTTGAGCCCAGGAGTTCAAGGTTACAGTGAGTCATGATCCCACCACTGTACTCCAGCCTGGGAACAGAGCTAGACTTGATCTCAAAAAAAAAAAAAAAAAAAAAAAAAAGAAGAAGAAGAAGAAGAAAAGAAAAGAAAGAAAAGATATCTGGACTTGAATAAACTTAAGTATCCATCAACAAAGGACTGGATTTTAAAAATGCAGTATACATACACAATGGAATACTATTCAGCCATAAAAAAGAATGAAATTGTGTCTTCAGCAACATGGACAGAACTGGAGGCCATTATCTTAAGTGAAACAACTGAGACAAATACCACGTGTTCTTACTTCTAAGTAGGAGTTAAATAATGTGTACACATGGAAGCAAAGTATGGAATGACGGGCAAAGGGAGACTTGTGGTTGGGGAGTGGGAGACCGGGTGACGGGAGGTTGCTTGGTGGGTAGGACATGCACAACGACATGAATTGTTCCGGTGACAGTTACACTGAAAGCCCTGACTTCACCACAATGCAATATATCAATGTAGCAAAACTGTACTTGTGCCCCATGGATACAAAGAAAAGTAGCTACACGAGAACAGTAATGAGGAAGCCTCACCCCTTGTATGCGAAGCTCCTCCTTCAGAGGCGCCAGGCTGCATTTCTTTCCCAGCATGCAGCTATACCATCTAGGAAAAAAAAAATCAGACAAGTAAATACGGTTTATGTGGTTAAAATTTTAAACTAAGCATTATTCAAGTGAATAAGATGAGAACAGTAACAAACAAACATTGAGTAAGGTCACAAGTGAAAAATATCAGGAATTACATACAATGTATTTCGACAAAGACCAAATCTAATGATGGAAAACAAGCCCAAGGCAACTTAAAAAATAAATAAATAAATAAATGTACTTAGCCTCTCCAATGCTTCAGGGCTATGTATTAAATATTTGGAAAAAGAGTAAAGAAGTCTCATCTGTCATGCTTACAACGAAGGCCGTTTATCTCTAGGACAGAAATTAGAAAATAAAAAACAACAAAAACATAATACTAAGAGAACTCAAGATTAGATCCAGCATGAACCTGTATTGTGAGATGTCCTCATCTGCACGTAATTTAAGGATAGATAATGCATTTGAGTTTCAACAGATCATGAAATCAATTTGCTCTAGAGTAAAAACAAATCCAGAAGAAGGAATGTGGAGAAGTTGGACTGAACTGATTAAAAGGTAAAGGGATAGAATATACTGCTTCTGATTATTCTAAAAAGTTTGTAAAGGACCTTTGCTTCAGCCCATGAAAGATTAGTTACTATGGGAATTGCCCTTCCACCATAAACAACCAGGAAACTGGACAAAACATATAAAATAGCTGTTTTTCAGACATTGGATAACTGGCAGTGCAGACCTACAGTCCCAGAAACAAATGAGGTGAGCCTGCATTTGCTAGAGCTTTCCTAGAAGGAAATTCCCAGACTGCAGTACAGGGAAAAGAAATTCAAACACAGTCCAACGTCTTGCTGAGTTGATGAGACACAGATCAAAGTTCAGAGATGCTGACGGAGTTACGATTTGTAAAGCAAATTAACAAGAGCAAATGAAACCCAAGTAAGAAGAAGAAAGGAAAAAAAAAAAGATTAGAGCAGAAACTGAGGAAAGAGAAAACAGGAAAACAATGGAGAAGAATGATGAAACCAAGAGCTGGTTCTATGAAAACAAATTTTCTTGAAGTCAAGAAAAAAAGAAGACAGAACTCTCAGTATCAGAACTGAAAGAGGGGACGTCCCACAGACCCTATAGGTATTAAGAGGGGACGTCCCGCAGGTCCTACAGGTATTAAAGGGTGTGAAGAGGTATAGAACAACTTTTTGCCAATAAATTTCACAACTTAGATGAAACAAATTGCTTCAAAAACACAAACTACCCAAGATTACTCAGGAAGAAATAGATAACTTCAATAGTTCTTTTTTTTTTTTGAGATAGTCTTGTTCTGTTGCCCAGGCTGGAGTGCAGTGGTACCATCTGGGCTCACCGCCACCTCCGCCTTCCGGGTTGAGGTAATTCTCCCGCCTCAGCCTCGCAAGTAGCTGGGATTATATGTGTGTGCCACCACGCCCAACTAATTTTTTTGTTTTTGAGACAGAGTACCACTCTGTCGCCCAGGCTGGAGTGCAGTGGCGTGATCTCCACTCACTGCAACCTCCACTTCCGGGCTCAAGCGATTTTCCCGCCTCAGCCTCCTGAGTAGTTGGGATTACAAGCGTGCGCCACCACACCCGGCTAATTTTCTTTTGTATTTTTAGTAGAGACAGGGTTTCACCATGTTGGACAGGCTGGTCTCAAACTCCCGCCTCAGCCTCTCTAAGTGCTGGAATTACAAGCATGAGCCACCATGCGTGACAGAGAAATAGATAACTTGAATAGTTCTCTATCAATTAAAGAAACTGAATTTGTATTAACTTTCCAGACCCAAGTCACTTCACTAGTGAATTCTACTAAACATTTAAGGAAGAAATAATATTAATTATATGCAAACTCTTCCAAAAAATATTAAAGAGGGAACACTTCCCCAACTCATCTTATAAGGCCAGTATTACATCAACAAATCATATCATTTCTTTTTTTTTTTTTTTGAGACACAGTCTCACTCTGTCACCCAGGCTGGAGTGCAGTAGCACGATCTAGGCTCGCTGCAAGCTCCACCTCCTGAGTTCAGGCCATTATCCTGCCTCAGCCTCCCGAGTAGCTGGGACTACAGGCGCCCACCACGACGCCCGGCTATTTTTTTTTTATTATTATTTTTATTTTTAGTAGAAACGGGGTTTCACCATGTTAGCCAGGATGGTCTCGATCTCCTGACCTCGTGATCCGTCCACCTCGGCCTCCCGAAGTGCGGGGATTACAGGGGTGAGCCACCGCACCTGGCCTTATTTCTTATAATGATAAGAAAGGTATAGACCAGGTATCCTTCATGAACATAAGATATAAAAATCCTTAACAAGGGAGGGTAGGCTGGGAAAAGGGAAGATGTTGGTGGGAGGGCACAAAGTTTCAGACAGCAGGAATAAGTTTTAGTTTTTAGCATAGCATGTTGACTATAGTTAATAATGACATATTACATATTTCAAAATTGCTAAAAGATTAGACTTAAAATGTTCTCACCACACAAAAAATTGGGTGAGGCATATGTTAGTTAGTTTGATTGAATCATTTAACAATAAATACATACAGCCATGAGTCACATAAGGACATCTCAGTCAGTAACAGATGGCACTTACAACAGGGGGTCCCATAAGATTAAAATGGAGTTGAGGCCGGGCACGGTGGCTCACACTTTGGGAGGCTAAGGCGGCAGATCACTTGAGGCCAAGAGTTCGAGACTAGCTTGGCCAACATGGTGAAACCCTGCCTCTGCTAAAAATACAAAAATTAGCCAGATGTGGTGGTGGGCATCTATAATCCCAGCTACTCAGGAGGCTGACGCAGGAAAATAGCTTGAACCCCAGAGGTGGAGGTTGCAGTGAGCAGAGATCACACCACTGCACTCCAGCCTGGGCTACAGAGCGAGACTCTGTCTCAAAATAAAATAAAGTAAAATAAAATAAAATAAAATGAAGTTGAAAAATTCCTATTGCCTAGTGATGTCGTAGCTGTTGCAACATCATAGCACAGTTTTAAAAAATAAAGTGTAGCTTAAGTGTACGGTGTTTATAAAGTCTACAATACTATACAGTGATGTTCTAGGCCTTCATATTCGCTCGCCACTCTCTCACTGACTCACACAGAGCAGCTTCTAGTCCTGCAAGCTCCACTCATGGTAAGTGCCCTACACAGATGGACCATTTTTTTTTTTTTTTTTTGAGATGGAGTTTCGCTCTGTCGCCCAGGCTGCAGTGCAGTGGCGTGATCTTGGCTCACTGCAAACTCTGCCTCCCGGGTTCAAGCAATTCCCCTGCCTCAGCCTCCCGAGTAGCTGGGAGTACAGGCACCCCCTCCACCACTCCCAGCTAATTTTTGTATTTTTAGTAGTGACAGGGTTTCACCATGTTGGCCAGGCTGGTCTTGAACTCCTGACCTCAGGTGTTCCACCCACTTAGGCCTCTCAAAGTGCTGGAATTAGAGGTGCATGCCACCATGCTAGGCTAATTTTTTGTATTTTTAGTAGAGACAGGGTTTCACCATGTTAGCCACAATGGTCTCCATCTCCTAACCTCGTGATCCACCCACCTTGGCCTCCCAAAGTGCTGGGATTACAGGTGTAAGCCGCCGTGCTCAGCCCATTTTTATCTTTAATTTTTACTGTCCCTTTTCTATGTTTGATATGTTTACATACACAAAACTTACCACTGTGCTAAAACTGCCCATGGTATTCAATACCATGCTGTACATGCCGTACAGGTTTGTAGCCTAGAAAACACAGGCTATTATTACATTATAGGCCTAGGTGTGTAGTAGGCTATATCATCTATAGCATTCACACAATAACAAAAAAATCACCTAATGATGCATTTCTCAGATTTCCCCCCTCATTAAGCAACACATGACTGTATATTAAAACATCACCTTGTACCCCCCAAAAAATACAACTATTATTTGTCAAGTAAAAATAAAATGCATATAAAGGTCAGGGATTTATATGCGTGGTGGCTCACGCCTGTAATCCCAGCACTTTGGGAGGCTGAGGTGGGTGGATCACTTGAGGTCAGGAGTTTGAGACCAGCCTGGCCAATATGGCAAAACCCCGCCTCTACTGAAAATACAAAAATTAGACAGGTGTGGTGGCACACACCTGTAATCCTAGCTACTCAGGAGGCTGAGACAGGAGAATTGCTTGAACCCGAGAGGCAGAGGTCACAGTGAGCTGAGATGGTGCCACTCCACTCCAGCCTGGGCAACAGAGTAAGACTCTAACTTAAAAAAAAAAAATTAATTAATTTAAAAAATAATAAAATAAAAGGTATATAAAAAAGGCTTTAAAATCCTTAATAAAATACTAGTAAATTTAATCCAGCAATATATAAAAAGAATAATACATTATAACCAAGGGGCATTTACTACAAGAAGGCAAGGCTGGTTTAATATTCAAAAATCAATATCTATAAGTCACTGTATTAATGGACTAAAAAGGACAAACCACATTATCACCTCAATAGACTAGAAAAAGCATTTGGAAAAAGTCAATGCTTTTTCATGACAAAACTCATCATTCATGATTAAAAACTCTAAACAGACTAGAAATAGAAGAAAACTTCCTCAACCTAATAAAGTGAATCTAAGAAACAAACAAAACCCCCAAACCAAAAAACTCTGTAACAGCCAACATCATCATGGTCAAAGTATAATAAAACTGCCTTAAGATTGGGAATGATGCAAGATGGCCACTCTTCACCACTTCTATTCAAAATTGTGCTGGAGATCCTAGTCAGTACAAGTAAGGCAAGAAAAAGAAATAAAATGCATACAAACTGAAATGAAAGAAGTAAAACTGCCTTTACTTCTGCCTTTACATCACAGAAGACATGGTCTTCTACGCAGAAAATTCCATGAAATCTAGGAAAAACCTATTAGAACTAATAAGTGAGTTCAGCAAGGCCACAGAATGAAAGGTCAACACAAAATCAATTGTTGGGGCCAGGTGCAGTGGCTCACACCTGTAATCTCAGCACTTTGGAAGGCCAAGGTGGGTAGATCACAAGGTCAAGAGATCAAGAGCATCCTGGCTCTCCCTCTCCCTCTCCCTCTCCCTCTCCCTCCACGGTCTCCTTCCACGGTCTCCCTCTGATGCCGAGCCAAGGCTGGACGGTGCTGCTGCCATCTCGGCTCACTGCAGCCTCCCTGCCTGATTCTCCTGCCTCAGCCTGCTACGCCTCACTGGTTCTCGTTTTTTTTTTGGTGGAGACGGGGTTTTGCTGTGTTGGCCGGGCTGGTCTCCAGCTCCTAGCCGTGAGTGATCCGCCAGCCTCGGCCTCCCGGGGTGCCGGGATTGCGGATGGAGTCTCGTTCACTCAGTGCTCAGTGGTGCCCAGGCTGGAGTGCAGTGGCGTGATCTCGGCTCGCTACAGCCTCCACCTCCCAGCCGCCTGCCTTGGCCCCCCAAAGTGCCGAGATTGCAGCCTCTGCCCAGCCGCCACCCCGTCTGGGAAGTGAGGAGCGTCTCTGCTTGGCCACCCATCGTCTGGGATATGAGGAGCCTCTCTGCCTGGCTGCCCAGTCTGGAAAGTGAGGAGCGTCTCTGCCCGGCCGCCGTCCCATCTAGGAAGCGAGGAGCGCCTCTTCCCCGCCGCCTTCCCATCTAGGAAGTGAGGAGCGTCTCTGCCCGGCCGCCCATCGTCTGAGATGTGGGGAGCACCTCTGACCCGCCGCCCTGTCTGGGATGTGAGGAGCGCCTCTGCTGGCCGCAACCCTGTCTGGGAGGTGAGGAGCGTCTCTGCCCGGCCGCCCCGTCTGAGAAGTGAGGAAACCCTCTGCCTGGCAACCGCCCCGTCTGAGAAGTGAGGAGCCCCTCCGTCCAGCAGCCACCCCGTCTGGGAAGTGAGGAGCGTCTCCGCCCGGCAGCCACCCCGTCCGGGAGGGAGGTGGGGGGGGTCAGCCCCCCGCCCGGCCAGCCGCCCCGTCCGGGAGGTGAGGGGCTCCTCTGCCCGGCCGCCCCTACTGGGAAGTGAGGAGCCCCTCTGCCTGGCCAGTCGCCCCGTCCAGGAGGGAGGTGGGGGGGGTCAGCCCCCCGCCCGGCCAGCCGCCCAGTCCGGGAGGTGAGGGGCGCCTCTGCCCGGCCGCCCCTACTGGGAAGTGAGGAGCCCCTCTGCCCGGCCAGCCGCCCCGTCCGGGAGGGGGGAGGGGGGGTCAGCCCCCCGCCCGGCCAGCCGCCCAGTCCGGGAGGGAGGTGGGGGGATCAGCCCCCCGCCCGGCCAGCCGCCCCGTCCGGGAGGGAGGTGGGGGGGTCAGCCCCCCGCCTGGCCAGCCGCCCCATCCGGGAGGGAGGTGGGGGGTCAGCCCTCCACCTGGCCAGCCGCCCCGTCCGGGAGGGAGGTGGGGGGGGTCAGCCCCCCGCCCGGCCAGCCGCCCCGTCCGGGAGGGAGGTGGGGGGATCAGCCCCCCGCCTGGCCAGCCGCCCCGTCCGGGAGGTGAGGGGCGCCTCTGCCCGGCCGCCCCTACTGGGAAGTGAGGAGCCCCTCTGCCCGGCCAGCCGCCCCGTCCGGGAGGGAGGCGGGGGGGTGGGGGTCGGCCAGCCGCCCTGTCCGGGAGGGAGGTGGGGGGGTCAGCCCCCCGCCCGGCCGGCCGCCCCGTCCGGGAGGTGAGGGGCGCCTCTGCCCGGCCGCCCCTACTGGGAAGTGAGGAGCCCCTCTGCCCGGCCACGACCCCGTCTGGGAGGTGTGCCCAGCGGCTCATTGGGGATGGGCCATGATGACAATGGCGGTTTTGTGGAATAGAAAGGCGGGAAGGGTGGGGAAAAAATTGAGAAATCAGATGGTTGCCGGGTCTGTGTGGATAGAAGTAGACATGGGAGACTTTTCATTTTGTTCTGTACTAAGAAAAATTCTTCTGCCTTGGGATCCTGTTGATCTGTGACCTTATCCCCAACCCTGTGCTCTCTGAAACATGTGCTGTGTCCACTCAGGGTTAAATGGATTAAGGGCGGTGCAAGATGTGCTTTGTTAAACAGATGCTTGAAGGCAGCATGCTCGTTAAGAGTCATCACCACTCCCTAATCTTAAGTACCCAGGGACACAAACACTGCGGAAGGCCGCAGGGTCCTCTGCCTAGGAAAACCAGAGACCTTTGTTCACTTGTTTATCTGCTGACCTTCCCTCCACTATTGTCCTATGACCCTGCCAAATCCCCCTCTGCGAGAAACACCCAAGAATGATCAATAAAAAAAAAAATAAAATAAAAAAAATAAAAAATAAAAAAATAAAAAAATAAAAATAAAATTTAAAAAAAAAAAAAAAAAAAAAAAAGAGCATCCTGGCCAACATGGTGAAACCCCATCTCTACTAAAAATACAAAAATTAGCTGGGTGTGGTGGTGCGCGCCTGTAGTCCCAGCTACTTGGGAGGCTGAGGCATGAGAATCGCTTGAACCTGGGAGACAGAGGTTGCAGTGAGCCGAGATTGCGCCACTGCACTCCAGCCTAGTGACAGAGCAAGACTCCGTCTCAAAAAAAAAAAAAAGTAAAATACTAATAAAATAAATCAACTGTATTTTCTTATAGTAGCAATACCTAACTAGAAATTAAAATTTTAAAATGCCATTTACGGTAGCATGAAAATACATAAAATACTTAGGAATAAAGTTCGTATAATGTGTGTAAAGGTGAAAGATATTGAAGACCTAAATAAATGAACAGCTAAACCAGGTTGGAATGGAAGACTCATTATTGTTAAGGTATCAATTCTTTCCAACTTGACCTATAAATTCAACACAATCCCAACCATACATTTTCATGAAAATTGATAAACTGATGCTAAAATTTATATGGAAATGCAAAAGATTTCAAGTAGCTAAAACAAATTTTTTTCCATAAAGACAGGGTATGCCTATGTTGCACAGGCTGGTCTCAAACTCCTGGATGCAAGCAATCCTCCTGCCTCAGCCTCCCAACGTGCTGGGATTACAGGCGTGAGCCACCATGTCTGGCTTAAAACAATTTTGAAAACAAAAAACAAACAAAAAAAAACAAAGATAGAGGATTTATACTGCCAGATTTCAAGACTTCTACAAAGCTATGATAATTCAGACCATATGGTACTGGCATAAGATAGACACAGATTAACAGAATGGAACAGAGTCCAGAAATAACTCACTTACACGGTCAGCTGATTTTAAACAAAGGCCACTAAAGGTTTGGTCTTTTTAAAAGAGATTTATAGAAATGGAAAGGCAACTATAGACTGGGAGGAAATACTTGCAAAACACATTTGACAATGGACTGTATTCAGAATCTATAAAGAACTGCCAATCAGTAAGATTAATAAACCAATAAAAAGGAGATACAGGAATGGCCAATAAGCACATGCGGATACTCCCTATCACCAGCCACCAGAGAAATGCAAATTCCAATCATAATGAGATACCACTACCTACCCGTTAGAACAGATACATTTTTAAAAGGTGACAACAGTACCAAATGGTGTCAACGGAAACTCTCAGATATTGCTGGTGGGAATGTAAAATGCTGTATAGTCACTTTGAAAAGCAGCTTCTTAATAAAGTTAAACATACACTTACAACAGGACCAGGAGTCCTACTCTCAGGTATTTACTTAAGATGGAGGAAAATTTAATTAGACACAAAAAATTATAAGCAAATGTTCAGTTTTATTCCTACTAGCCAAAACCTGGAAATGACCCAAATGTCCTTCAACTGGCAAATGGATGAACGAACTGTGGTATACTCAGCCTATTTAGCAACAAAAGGGACAGGCCACTGACACAAAAAATCATGGATATGCTGCTACGTGAAAGAAAGCAGACAATCAAAACCTACATTTTCTATGACTCCATTTGTATGAAAAGTCTAGAACACACAAAACTGTTGTGACAGAAAGTACATCAGGGCTACAGGAAGCTGGGAGCAGAGTGTGGACAGACTGCAGAGGGGAACAGGAAACTTTTCAGGGTGATGGAAATGTTCCACATTTGTCTAAACTCATCCAACTGCACACTTAAATGGGAGTTACTCAAGTTTACCTCAGGACGACTGACTGAAATATATAAATTTATAAATGGGATTATCTTATACCTTCAAATACACATAAAATAAGGTTAACCATATCGTAACGTTTTACATGTTTCCTTCTTGTTTTGTAACAGCTTAGCCAAACTAACAATACATATTCTGTCTCCTGCTTTTCTCACTAAGCATTATAATCAACCTGTGTCATTCAAAATTCACCTAATCGCATTAAAAGGGAAATTTCAGATTAAGGGATATACATTCAATATTTAATTGTTTATATACAAAATGCCTACTACAAGATGAATTTTCAAGAATTTAATTTCAAGAATTTAAATTTCAAGAAATTTCAAGAATTTAAATTCTAAGAGAATTTAAGAGCCTCTAAAATCACCAATTAGGTTAAAACTGTATGAAACTGACATTTTTATACATCAAAAACTGTTTTATAGGTCAAAAACTATTGAAGACTGGCAATCTGGTATTTCGACCTCATACATTAAATAACATAAATGAAAAATCTAATTATTTTAAAAGTATGAAAAATACTATTATATTACTTTAGAAACAGTGGGCATCAACAAATATTTTGTCTTCACTGTGAATTCAACAAGAGGTGACCACATCTATTTTTGTTTAGGCAATCCTTTTTCCCTTTGAAAATAAAGAAATAATTGTTATAGCTAAAACACTTTAAACAAACCCCGGTAAAGTTATTTAAAGGATAATAAATTTCATTTGGTGGTTTAAAAATGTTTAGAAGAAAAATAATATGTTCCCTTTAAGAAAGTATCATCGGGCACAGCGGCTCACGCCTGTAATCCCAGCACTTTCGGAGGGCGAGGTAGGAGGATCACTTGGGGTCAGGAGTTCGGGACCAGCCTGGCCAACATGGGAAACCCTGTCTCTATTAAAAAATACAAAAAAATTTAGCTGGTGTGGTGGTGCGCACCTGTAGTTCCAGGTACGCAGGAGGCTGAAGCAGGAGAATCGCTTGAACCCAGGAGGCGGAGGTTGCAGTGAGCTGAGATGGTGGCACTGCACTCCAGCCTGGGTGACAGAGGTAGACTCTGTTTCCAAAAAAAAAAAAAGAAAAGAAAAGAAAGAAAGTGTATAAATGGATTCATTAACCAGGAATTTAAAGCCTTGGGTATATTATGAACAAGAGGAAGGAAGAGAAATCGGGAGCAATTAGTGCTGACACAGTAACAGCATAAAACAGGTTAACAGTTTCCTTTAAAACTAGCATTCCTCAACAGATTAGATAGATCAGAGCTATCAGAAGCCAAGAAGCGGCACAGAACAACAAAAAAAGATACTGGCTTGGCGTGGTGGCTCACATCTGTAACCCCAGCACTTTGGGAGGCCGAGGCAGGTGGATCACTTGAGCCCAGGAGTTTGAGACCATCCTGGGCAACATGGCAAGACCCCATCTCTACAAAAAATAGCTGGGCATGGTGATGCATGCCTGTGGTCCCAGCTACTAGGGGGGCTGAGGTGATAGGATCGCTTGAGCCTGGGAGGTCAGGGCTGCAGTGAGCAGTGATTGCACCACTGCACCCCAGCCTGGATGACAGAGCAAGCCCTTGTCTCAAAAAAAAAAAAAAAAAAAAGATACTGTAAGGTTCTTCAGGAGATGAAGGAAAAGAAATATTTAGAAGACAAGAAAAGCTAGTAATAGTTAAACATGCCATTGATACTTAATAGACACTCGGGAGGGAGTTCATATTTCTTTTAACCTTTGCACTAAACTGAATACCACACTGCGAATCATTTCAGATTGAATGTCATATATACGCTGTTTTCAGCAACAGTTGTATTTGTTATGGAAAAAGCAGAAGTCATTGGATGTGTTAAAAATCCTATTTTAGCTGCACATTTTAAATATGCCTACCCACTAGATCCTAGCTACTCTCAACGGGCATCTTGTGACAACTAATCAAAATGCAAGTGGAAAAAAAAATGAAGAAAAGGAAGATCTAGTCACCCAAGAGACTTTGAATCCATTAAACTATTTTAATGATGAAAGTAGCACTCTACTTATTACAACATTTAGGAATTCCTCTGAGATGGTAGGTTTCAAGAAAAATTATTTTGAAATAATTTCAAACTTTCAGAAGAGTTGCAGGATTCGCGCAAATGACTCCAGTATACCCTTCACCCAGATTCACCAATTACATCTTCCTTCATTCTGTGTGTATGTGTTTTTTCCTAAGCTGTTTGAGAATCAGTTACAGACATCAACATGTCTCATTAACTGTAATATTTTGGCATGTCCATTTTAAAAGCGTGTATTGTTTTTTGTTTTTGTTTTTGTTTTTTTTAGACTTTTTTTCAGACAGAGGCTCACTCTGTCTCCCAGGCTGGAGTGCAGTGGTGCAATCTCAGCTCACTGCACCTCCACCTCCCAGGCTCAGGCGATTCTCCTGACTCAGCCTCCAGAGTAGCTGGGATTACAGGCATGTGCCACCACAACAGGCTAATTTTTGTATTTTCCCTAGAGACAGGGTTTCACTGTGTTGGTCAGGCTGGTCTTGAACTCCTGACCTCAGGTGATCCACCTGCCTTGGCCTCCCAAAGTGCTGGGATTACAGGTGTGAGCCGCTGCGCCCCCACGGAAACAAGTGTATTCATTTTTGTAACCACAGAGGAATTATCAAATTGCTAAAACTTAACACTCATTCAATACTATTATCTGGAATACAGTCCACACTTAAATTTCACCTGTTTATCCCAATATTCTCCCCGATACAAGGCCCCTTAGGATTGCGAATTTCATGTACTTGTCATGTCTCTTTAGCCTCCTTCAATCTGGAATAGTTCCTCAGTCTTCTTTTACTCTCATGACCTTAATGTTTTTGAGGAGCTGATTTTACACAGTCCCTCAACTGGGTGTGTCTGAAGTTTCCACGTCATTGGATTCAGATGACACATTTCTGGCGTGAAGAGCACGGAGGCGCTGCTTGTCCTTCCAGGTGCGTCACATCAGGAGATGAGCACCTGGTCAGGGAGGTGGCCTGTGCTTTCTCCAAAGCAAACTCTTTACTTTGTAAACTCCCACACTTCTCTCTGTAACTGTAAGTAACCTAAAGGGGGAAGGGGTGGTTCTTTGAAACTAGGTAGTTATCCTGTTCCTTTTCAAATTTCCCTTTGCCAATTGTTCCACGAATCAATTATTACTATGATTGTTGCAAAATTTAAGAGCCTCTAAAATCACCAATTAGGTTAAAACTGTATGAAACTGACATTTTTATACATCAAAAACTATTTGATAGGTCAGAAACTATTGAAGACTGGCAATCTGGTATTTCAACCTCATACACTAAATAACATACATGAAAAATCTAACTTTAAAAGTATGAAAAATGCTATTACATTATTTTAGAAATAAGTAATATAATAGTTTATTATTCTTTCTATATTTATTCATCGGCATCCACTCTATCCCCTGTATGTACTGTATCTTATTCAATGGGTTATAAGTCATTATTGTCATTATTCATCTTGAAACTCATGTTGTCCCAGCTTTGCCCTGAGCTCACTCTAGGTTCTTCTGACATGTCATTTTTTGAGTATGTCATTACTTTCTGGTACTAGAAGATATTCCAGGCTCATTGTGTATTCACCCCAACTCAGAAGTGGAATTTACCGTTTCTCCAAAAAACTTTTTTTCCCCTCACTGGGGAACGGTTATTTAGAAACTTATTAAAAACTCAAGTGAAGTATAATATAGAAAAACAGGAAAGCAGAGGTTTGGGGTATAAGCAATTATGAACCTTACCTAAAAAGTTCTCTAAGTAGTAAAATCCAACACCTTGCTGCCTATAATAAATTACCAGAACAAATGCCCCTAGATATTCAACGGAGCAGCCCCAATGTCCACCTGATCTCAAAATTTACTATTTAAACTATCATAAATTTCGAATCTATATAACTAAAAATAAACTTTTATCCTATGCTCTTATAAGTGATTTTAATTATTCACTTTTTGACATGGATAAGACTATATTATTATTATTATTTTTTTTTTTTTTTTTTTGAGACGGAGTCTTGCTCAGCCGCCCAGGGTGGAGTGCAGTGGCATGATCTCAGCTCACTGCAACCACTGTCTCCTGGGTTCAAGCAATTTTCCCATCTCAGCCTCCCAAGTAGCTGGGATTACAGGCACCCGCCATCATGCCCAGCTAATTTTTGTATTTTAGTAGAGACAGGGTTTCATCATGTTGGCCAGGCTGATCTTGAACTCCCGACCTCTGGTGATCTGCCCACCTTGGCCTCCCAAAGTGCTAGGATTACAGGAGTGAGCCCCCACGCCCAGCCAAAAGACTACATTATAACAAGCAAGTGGAACCAAGGCTTTTAATTTGTTATCCTATTTATTTATTTATTATTTTTGAGATGGAGTCTCGCTCTGTTGCTCAGGCTGGAGTGCAGTGGCGCAATCTTGGTTCACTGCAACCTCTGCCTCCCAGTTTCAAGCGATTCTCCTGCCTCAGCCTCCCAAGCAGCTGGGATTACAGGCACGTGCCACTATGCCCAGGTACTTTTTTTTTTTTTTTTTTTGAGACGGAGTCTCACTCTGTTGCCCAGGCTGGAGTGCAATGGCGTTATCTTGGCTCACTGCAACCTCCGCCTCCCAGGTTCAAGCGATTCTCCTGCCTCAGCCTCCCAAATAGCTGGGACTATAGGCATGCACCACCACGTCTGGCTACTTTTTGTATTTTTATAAAGACGAGGTTTCAACATGTTGGCCAGACTGGTCTCAACTCCTGACCTCAGGTGATCCGCCCACCTCAGCCTCCCAAAGTGCCAGGATTACAGGCGTGAGCCACCGTGCCCAGCCTGTTATTCCTTTGTAGACTGTTAGATGAACTCAAAATACATGCTTGTTGATTTTAAGAATTCTCTTCTTTCACCAGCTAACGCAGAACCAAGCAGTGACTATGTCACGTAGTCGGAAATGCCATGTAAGCTGACACAGCTAGCTCACCGTGGCGCAAGCTGCTGGATCCAATCTTTTCTCCCTGAGACCTCAGAGCAGACACCAATCAACAAGGCTGCCATATCAATCCTGAAAGGGATTAAACTAAGCATCATACCTGAGTTAAAATGATGAAATGCATATAACCTAATTCATCAAAGAAAATAAGGTAAGGCCAGGTGCAATGGTTCACGCCTGTAACCCCAGAACTCTAGGAAGCCAAGGTGGGGTGGAATGACTTGAGCCCAGGACTTTGAGGCCACCCTGGGCAACATGGCAAAACCCCATCTCTACAAAAAAATGCAAAAATTGGCCAGGCATGGTGTTGTGCACGTATAGTCCTAGCTACTCAGGAGGCTGAGGCAGGAGGATTGCTTGAGCTCAGAAGGTGAAGGCTGCAGTGAGCCGTGATCATGCCACTGCACTCTAGTCTGGGTGACAGAGCAAGACCCTGTCTCGAAAATTAATTAATTAATTAATTAATTAAAATAAAATAAGGTAGTCCCTTATCTTTCAGGCTGCTTATCCTTCTTTTTCCTACCTTAGTATGAAGGAAAAATCAAAATAGCAGCATCTACCCCCTGTGGAGCTCACAACTGGGAAATGTTCCTTCATGTTTTAATTGCAAAAACGCTGCACTACCTGGAGAACAAGCTGGTACACCATCTGTCCCCAGTACTTCTCTATCTCTGGTATCTGTGTAGGAAGCTGAGGGGCACAATTCTTTGTAATGATACCCTAAAACACCTTTACTGACTGACAACCCTACTTTGGGTCCCAGTCAAAGATGAAAGCAGGGGTCAAACGTAGCCATTCATAACAGCCTCAACAGATGGCAGTTCAGTAAGAAACAAGAAGTGGTATGTTCTTTTTAACAGTGAAAACAAGAAAACCTCTGAATGCCCAATAACAAAGAATTAGTTAATTATGGACTGTTGTTAAGCTCACTAGCTACTGACTGATTGACTGAGACAGGGTCTCGTTCTGTTGCCCCGGTTGGAGTGCAATGGTGTGATCATGGCTCACTGCAGCCTTGACCTCCTGGACTTAAGTGATCCTCAGGCCTCAGCCTCACAAGTAGCTGGGACTATAGGAACATGCCACCACACACCAGGCTGATTTTTTGTAGACACAGAGTCTTGCTATGTTGCCCAGGCTGGTCTTGAACTCCTGGCCTGAAGCCATCCTCCAGCCTCAGGTTTGCAAAGTGCTGAGATTACAGGCATGAGTTACCACACCCGGACTGTCAAGCTACTTATTTTGTATTTATTTATTTATTTTTAAGACATAGTTTCACTCTGTTGCCCAGGCTGGAGTACACTGTCTCAATCTCAGCTCACTGCAACCTTCTGTCTCCCAGGTAAGTGATTCTCCTGCCTCAGCCTGCCATGTAGCTGGGATTACAGGCGCATGCACCCGGCCTTTTTTTTTTTTTTAAATGCCAAAGCAGCTTTCTCCATTTTCTAATTTCCTGTAAGTGTGGTTATATTGTTTAAGAGATAACAAAATTATAAAAATAATAATGTCAGCTGGGCGTGGTGGCTCACGCCTGTAATCCCAGCACTTTGGGAGGCCAAGGCGGGTGGATCACGAGGTCATGAGATCGAGATCATCCCGGCTAACACAGTGAAACCCCGTCTCTACTAAAAATACAAAAAAAAAAATTAGCTGGGCGTGGTGACGGGCGCCTGTAGTCCAAGCTACTAGGGAGGCTGAGGCAGGAGAATGGCGTGAACCTGGGAGGCGGAGGTTGCAGTGAGCCGAGATCGCGCCACTGCACTCCAACATGGACGACAGAGCGAGACTCCGTCTCAAAAAAAAAAAAAAAAAAAAAAAAAGTCATTATCTAACATTTATACTACATGCTGCAACCTCCTAGAATAGTCAAGAGTTAAAAATCGGCCGGGCACAGTGGCTCACGCCTGTAATCCCAGCACTTTAGGAGGCCGAGGCAGGCGGATAACCTGAGGTCAGGAGTTTTGAGACCAGCCTGGCCAACACGCTGAAACCCCATTTCTACTAAAAATACAAAAATTAGCCAGGCATGGTGGCGCGTGCCTTTAATCCCAGCTACTTGGGAGACTGAGGCAGGAGAATTGCTTAAACCTAGGAGACGGCGGAGGTTGCGGTGAGCTAAAATCACGCCACTGCACTCCAGCCTGGATGACAGAGCGAGACTCTGTCTCAAAAAAAAAAAAAAGAGTTAAAAATCACCCTATTTAATATCCACTATTATTATTATGTCAAATATGTATTCATTTAATTCTATAACCACTTTATGAGATAGCTACTATCATTCCATTTTACCAATGATAAATCAAAATTTCAAACCAAAGAATCACATTCAAAAGGCCCAGATTATTACCAATTTTTGAGACGGGCTCTTGCTCTGTCACCCAGGCTGGAGTGCAGCGGCATAAACACAGCTCATGGCAGCCTCAACCTCCCAGGCTCAAGCAATTCTTCCACCTTGGCCTACTGGGTAGCTGGGACCACAGGCACGTGCAACCATACCCAGCTAATTTTTAAATTTTTTGTAGAGATGGGGTCTTGCTATGTTGCCCAGGCTGGTCTCAATCTCCTGAGCTCAACTGATCGTCCTACCTCAGCCTCCCAAAGTGCTAGGATTATAGGTATGGGCCACTGTGCCTGGCCTAGGCCCAGATTATTAAATTTATTACCCATCCCAAAATAGGTGGATTATATCCAAATCCAAGCAGTATCCATCATCTGGCAGGGGACACGCTGGTGCTTTGTAGAATACAGATCTCTGGTTCCTAAGAAAAGCCTAAAATCATTGCCATAAAGGGCATCAGTTATAGAACTGGTAACCAATGACAAGAGAGAATCCAAAACATACAAAATTATGGTGTGGAGAATAAATTAAAAAAAAAAAAAATTCAGGGCCAGGGTGTGGTGACTCACACCTGTAATCCCAGCACTTTGTGAGGCCAAGGGGGGCAGATCATTTGAGCTCAAGAGTTCCAGACCAGCCTGGGCAACATGGTGAAACCCTGACTCTAATAAAAATACAAAAATCAGCTGAGTGTGGGGGTACACATTTGAAATCCCAGCAACTAGGGAGGCTGACGTGGGAGAATCACTTGAACTTGGGAGGCAGAGGTTGCAGTGAGACAAGATCACTCCACCTCACTGCAGCCTGGGTGACAGAGCAAGACTCTGACACACACACACATACACACACACTCACACACAATTCAGGCCATGAGGAGTTTGATAAAGTCTGGTAATTTATCTAGAAGGTTAGATGGGTGAGTCCCTTTTTTTTTTTTCTTTTTTGAGATAGGGTCTCACTCTGTCACTCAAGCTGGAGTGCAGTGGTACAATCTCGGCTTACTGTAGCCTCGACCTCCTGGGCTCAAGCGATCCTCCTACCTCAGCCTCCCGAGTAGCTGGGACTAAAGGCATGTGCCACCACATCCAGCTAATTTTTGTATTATTTGTAGGGAAGGGGTGTCGCCATGTGGCCCAGGCTGGTCTTGAACTCCTGGGCTCAAGTGATCCACCAACTCAGCCTCCCAAAGTGTTGGGATTACAGGTGTGAGCCATTGTGCCCGGACTGGGTGAGTCACTTGAGAAAAAAAAGCTATTAAGTAAGCTCAAGCCACAGGCACAAAAAGCCAAAGTAAGGGTGACAAGCACTTGTAAATCCTCATCAACGACAGAAAGGCTCTTCACAGAGTCCAACTGCAGCTTAGAGCTGCAGAGGCTGCAAGGGGTGGTGGAAAGACCACTGGACTAGAATGAGGATATCTGAGTTCTAATTTCCAGTCTGTAAACCAAGAGGTTGGATAACTTTACCTCTCAAGGTCTTTCCAGCTGCAAAATTCCTTAAGATACAAAACAAAACTGTTAACTGCTGCTGAGCATGACAGAGGTGAGACATGAACCTCCCAGGGGAGGCGAGGCATCACAAGCGCCATCCTGAGGTCAGTCCAACACATTTAACTTATTTCACCCCATAATGCTGCAAATTCTGCTTAGTTCCTGTATTTCTTCAGGGACAAGGAGAAAAACATTCTACAGGGATAAGAAACAGATGGTAGGGTTAAGGCACTTGTTTATAATCTCTTATTTTTTAGAGCTTCAAAATACACAATTTTCAGAGCATTCTGAAATGTGAGTCACACGGTTGTATAAACATTATGATGTCAACTATAAAAATATGCATGGGGGCCGGGCGCAGTGGCTCATGCCTTTCATCCCAGCACTTTGGGAGGCCGAGGCAGGCGGATCACCTGAGGTCAGGAGTTCGAGACCAGCCTGACCAACATGGAGAAATCCTGTCTCTACTAAAAATACAAAATTAGCCAGGCATGGTGGCACATGCCTGTAATCCCAGCTACTCTCGAGGCGGAGGCAGGATAATCGCTTGAATCCAGGAAGCGGGGGTTGCAGTGAGCTGAGATCACACCATTGCACTCCAGCCTGGGCAACAAGAGCAAAAACTCCATCTCAGAAAACGTATGTGTATATATGTGTATATATACATGCATGGGGACACGAACTGGTAGTTGTACAAATGTAAGTCATCATGGTAGGATGTGAGTGAAAACAATACTTGCAAGCAACACCCTTTCACAAAACACTGTTCTAGTTTCTTCTCAGTAAAAATCACTTCATTTCTTCCTTTCTTTCATCTAAACTCTCAAACTGCTTGAGTCCTCACAGAGAAGAAAGTTGCACCCTGTTTTAAATAAATCCTAAAGGGCAGTGTTTCCCATATATGAGACCAAGCACAAAATGGCCAGCTCTCCAGAGCTGGGATGGGCTCTTGCATTTTATCCTTCCTAGCAAATTTACACCCTTCATTCAATTTGCAGGCTGCCACAGAGCCAAGTATAAGCAGACTAGGAACATACTGAGTCCATTTCTACCCCTTAGAATGGTGTTCTATTCAAACATATTTTTGTAGTTCAAATGGTACTTTGGAAATAACAGAAATTTACTGTTTAAAAGCCTCCTAAAAACAACCCCATTATTATTGTAGCCTAGTAGAGCCACCTACAGTTCCCCATTTTCCTGGCTGGCTCTAGTTCCCTCAAAAGCCATAATGAGGGTTGGGCGCGGTGGCTCACGCCTGTAATCCCAGCACTTTGGGAGGCCAAGGCGGGTGGATCACCTGAGGTCGGGAGTTCAAGACCAGCCTGACCAACACGGAGAAACCCCATCTCTACTAAAAATACAAAATTAGCTTGGTGTGGTGGCACATGCCTGTAATCCCAGCTACTCGGGAGGCTGAGGCAGGAGAATCACTTGAAC